>NC_000006.12:157646547-157798062 GCF_000001405.40 Homo sapiens | reverse complement strand
CATCCCTCATTAAATGTTCACCCACTAGTTTTATTATCCACTGGTGTTTGCTGGTTGCATTAATAATTACTAGGTTGCCAAATACCAATTTTCTAATTCCATCATCCCTTGTACATTTATTAGTTAGCATTTCACTGTAAGAAAAGCTTTCTTTTCCCCACGCTTATTTATTGTAGCATCTCATTGCATCAGTATAGACTTCCGGATTCCTATTTTATTTAGTGGACTATCATCCCTTACTATAGTTACTTATTTTGATGCCAAGTTGTCCTGGATTTGTCCAGTGTGAGGCCCATCAAACTGGTTTCTATGAGCTTTTAACATGTTTCTGTCCTTCAATGAGCCTTTCTCTATTTTCTGGCACAAAAGATATTCCAGGCCCATCTTGTATTTTCCCTGCCCCAACCCTGGAATCAGTCATTTCCCCAAGAACCTTGGAATCCTTTTAGTAAAGAATGATATTTAGAAACCAAGGTCTAGACTCTAGGTGTGCACATTGTGAATGGGTATCATTGCTCTGAGGAAGAGTTAGACAATCGATCTATCTATTATTTAAATAAAAATAGAGCTATAGATGTATCTATCTACACACACACATACAACCACATATGTATCAGACATTTACATTTATTTTCATTTCTTTATCTCCATATGTCAAAGCATATGCTTTATATTATTACTATTGTGTATATTAAAAACTGAATTCATACCGATACTTCCAATTCCAAATCTAACACCACAGGGTTAATTCTAGTTTTTTTCTTTCCAGTACTCTATACTATGCTCCCAGACATGGATGACAGGGGGGCAGGAAGGAAGGATGCTTCCTAACAATTTAAATTCAATTTTTGTGTTATTTTAAATTATTTAACTTTAATTAGAAATTACTTGTGTATTTTACATTTACAGAGCACTTGCTGTGTGCCAGGTACTGTGGGCCTTTACATGCATCATCTCATTTAATTCTTGCAACCATTCTCTAAGGTACATAATATTATCCCTTTATCCATTTTACAAAGGAGGCAACTGAGGCTTACAGAGATTACACAGTAGGAGCACAGCTAGGACACTCCAATAATCATCTTTGATAGTAATTAAAATTTTTTTAAGTATTTATAATATATAATACCTTCTAGATATGTATTATGTGTATATCAGCAAACAGATTTTTATCTCTGTCCTTTGGGGTTATATTTTATTCTGGTGAGCAAGAAAAGAGCTGAGCTTATTGTGTACTCGCCTTTATGGAATGCAGCCATTTAATTAAATCCCTGAATTGTCATCAGTACCTAGAATAGTGCCTGTGTGTAATAGATACTCAACAAATAGTTTTTGCATAGATGGATGATCAATACATCTACGCAGCATGTAATGACAATGAAGTAAACAGGGTGCCCACCGAAACATGGTTCTCTTTTCCTTCATTGACATATAGGAGGCCACACTTCTTTGCCCCCTTGCAGTTAGGTGGGATCCTGTGACCAGTTCTGGCCAAAGGAAAGTGAGCAAAAGTGACTGTCGAGAAGCCCCAGTCTCTCTTGTCCTGCTGTGGCAAGTTCCAGATGGCGCAGCCACCAGATGGATCCTCTGGCAGCCTGGCTCCCCACCCAGTCTATTCCCCTCTCTTCCCCCACTGCCTTGCTGACCAACAGTAGAGTTTTTGTGAGAGATGAACTTTAATGCCACTGAGATTCTCAAGGTTAACTTGTACGTCGTAACCTGGCCTGTCCTGACTCACACCTCTCTTCTCTGGTCTGACAGATCCAATATAAATTTAAAAAAGCTATACTCCTTACTAATAGTCCAAACACCATTCCGTTGGCAGTTTAAGGAAATAACATGTGTGAGATTTATCCAAGAAACAGCATTGCGAGCATATTTATATTGAAGGAAGCACTGAAGAAGACAGGAACAATAATTAAGAAAAAAAAAAGATCACTTAAATCCATGGGTTAAAGGCATCCTGACAGACCTCGTTGGCTGTAATTTCATGTGGATCCTTCCTGGGAGTGACTTCAGATTCTGACTTCCTTTATTCCTAAAATGCCAATTCGTCAAGTCACACTTCCTCTTTAAATAAAATACTGATTTTGTTCGTAGTTTTAAATTTAAAATTTTTTACTTACAGGAAGATAAGAAGTATAACTTTTGTCCAGTAACTGGCTAGCTTTGCACCTCTACGTCAAAGATATTTTTAGTGTTATACCACCCCAGACGCTGTTCCAACATTGAAATTGTACTTAGGTTAAATTGGGAAGACTGTTCCCTTTGCCCAAATGTGCTTTTGGCATTATTCCTATGAAAGTTTATAACAAGTTTATGTGTAAAAGCAGAGGGAATAATATAATGAATTACTATAAAATTATCACTTTAATTTTACAATTGTTAATATTTCACCATGTTTCATCTATGTTCCCCTTTGCTGAAGTATTTTAAAACTAGCCCCAGACATCAGGACACTTAACCTTTAAATACATCACTGTACATCTCAAAAACCTAAGGATATTTTCTTATATAATCATAATGCTATCATCATACCTAACAAAATTAACAACATAATTCTTTTACAATATCTGATACCCTATCCACATTCAAGTTTTCTAAAATATCCCTAAGATATGTTTTAATTTTTAAGTTTTAAATTTTTGAGATGTAGTCTCTCTCTGTCGCCCAGGCTGGAGTGCAGTGGCGCAATCTTGGCTCACTGCAACCTCTGCCTCCTGGGTTCAAGCCATTCTCTTGCCTAAGCTTCTCGAGTAGCTGGGACTACAGGCACACTACACCATGCCTAGCTAATTTTTGTATTTTTAGTAGAGATGGGGTTTCACCATGTTGACCAGGCTGGTCACAAACTCCTGACCTCAAGCAATCCGCCCGCCTTGGCCTCCCAAAGTGCTGGGATTACAGGCATGAGCCACCGTGCCCCGCCTCAAGATGTGTTTTTATATTTCATTTTCATATTTGGTTTGATGGGACCTAAACTAGGTGCACATACTGCATATGATTGTTCAGTTTCTAGTCTCTGTTGATCAGTTTACTTTATTTTAAAATTCATCTTGATCTATTTCCTTTCAATTTTCTACTTTTTTTTTTTTTTTAAATTCTGCTCTTCCAAATCTTTTCCTTTTTTGGTGGAGGAAGTTTGAGCAGGACAATATTCTCACCTTGCATCTGGGGAAATCTAGTCTCTTTTTTTTAAGCATCTCATATTCCTGGTCTTTTAAAAAAAGACAATATAAATATAAGCTAAATACTAATTTTTAAAAGTAAGTCATTTAAAACATCTAGCTAATAGGAAGCTAGAGAATAAGTAGAGTTTTATGTTTTATGTATTTCATGTTTGCTAAGTTTATCTGGGTCAGAAAAAGAAACTCTCTTTTATTATAAATCTTTAGATGTAATGGCCTATCAGAAATAAGACTTCTCTTACTAATTCTTCAAGAAAATTTCCTAGTCAAAATAAATAAATAAAATATAAAGATGTTGTGTGTTCGTTTTTAGCAGTCTCTATGGACAAAACAATGTAGTAGTTCAAGAAAATATCATTAATATCAAGTGATTTAGGGAGTAAGAAGACTTGGCTTTAGCCCTGCCTTTACTGTGAACTAATGACTTGAATAAGTTCTGTAAGTTGTCTGAGCCTTAGCTTCTGTGTTAGTCCGTTTTCATGCTGCTAATAAAGACATACCTGAGACAGGGTAATTTATAAAGAAAAAGAGGTTTAATAGACTCACAGTTCCACGTGGCTGGGGAGGCCTCACAATCATGGCAGAAGGCGAAGAAGGAGCAAAGTCATGTCTTACATGGTGGCAGGCAAGAGAGCGTGTGCAGTGGAACTGCCCTTTATAAAACCATCAGGTCTTGTGAGACTTATTCACTATCATGAGAACAGCAGGGGAAAAACCCACCCCTATGACTCAATTACCTCCCACTGGGTCCCTCCCATGACACATAGGGATTATGGGAGCTACAATTCAAGATGAAATTTGGGTGAGGACACAGCCAAACCATATCAGCTTCTTCACGAGAAAGCTTAGCCTAGTTGACCAACAAGATATACTTTTAATATTCTAAAATTTCATAAAGCCAAATGTCTGCAAAATAAGAAAACCATTTTTGTCCCCCAACAAATATACCAGGTCTTAGGGTTTCACATGAGGCTGTTTTCAAAGCAGACCCCTTGGAGCCATGTGGTCATTTACCTGATGGGGCCACCCCTCAAAATATTTTTGTAAGTACTTTCAAATCAGGTTATAAGCCACACAAGAAAATAGGAACTACTGCTTGATGGTCATGTCTCCTCTTTTATTTCATAGGTATTTGTTGCAGACTTGCTAGGTGCATGAAGAATTGTGCAAGGTGCTGGGGTTGCTGAGGCAGGATGGGTGCAAGCATGAGCAAGACCAAGTCCTGCTTGCTAAGGAACTTAGCTTTTTGTAAAAGACCAGCATTCGCTAGCATCCTATTAATTAGATATTTTGAGTGAATTACTTTAGAAAATTAGTATTTAGCTTATATATATATTGTCTTTTTTTAAAAGACCAGGAATATGAGATGCTTAAAAGAAGATACTAGTTGGAGGGAACAAAAAAGATCTGGTTGGAGGGAAGAAGTTGGTACATACACAAAACAATGAAAGGGAATGAATAAAAACTTGGCGGGGGATGGGGAATATTTTTGGCATAGCATGAATGTCTCCAAAGCCAAGGTCCTTGGGTTTCAGAAATGGACCTCCTCAGCTGTGAAGACATTAACTTCTATTTTGAAGCCAATAAAATGCCTCCTACTTGGTATTTATCAAAAGTAATTCTAAGGCTGGGTGCGTGGGCTCACGCCTGTAATCCGAGCGCTTTGGGAGGCCGAGGCGGGTGGATCATCTGAGGTCAGGAGTTTGAGACCAGCCTGGCCAACGTGGTGAAACCCCGTCTCTACTCAAAAAACAAAAATTAGCTGACTGGGTGTGCTGGCACATGCCTGTAATCCCTGCTACTAGGGAGGCTGAAGCAGGAGAATTGCTTGAACCCGGGAGGTGGAGCTTACAGTGAGCTGAGATTGTGCCACTGTACTTCAGTCTGAGCAACAGAACAAGACTGTCTCAAAACAAAAACAAAAACAACAACAACAACAGAAAAACCCAGTGATTCTGGTATCATCAGGCTGGCACGGGGTGGATATATGAACAATAGCTGGAAGTGAAAAAGTTCTGAGCATCCACTGGACAAGGTTGAAGCCAAAACAAACACACTAAATACTTTAAATAATTAACACATGCTCTTTTAAAACACTGAGCATTGAAGGGCTCTTAATAATATGAAGGACCAGGGGCTGGGGGAGAGGTGGGAGGCCAGCTGGGGAGAATGTTGGTCAAAGGATACAAAATCCAGCTAGGCAGGAGGATTAAGTTTAAGAGATCTATTGTAGAAAATGGTGCCTTTAGTTAATAAAAATATATTTTCAAAAATTGCTAAGAGAGTGGATTTTGTGTTTTCACCCCAAAATGGTAAGTATGTGAAGTAGTGCACATGTTAGTTTCATTTAGCCACTCTACATTGTATACATGTAGTAAAACAACATAGTGTACATGATAAAGATATATATTTTTGTCAATTAAAAAATAAAAAATCGGCTGGGCACAGTGGCTCATGCCTGTAATCCCAGCACTTTGGGAGGCCAAGGCGGGCAGATCACGAGGACGAGAGATCGAGATCATCCTGGCCAACATGGTGAAACGCCATCTCTACTAGAAATACAAAAATTAGCTGGGTGTGGTGGTGCGCGCCTGTAGTCCCAGCTACTTGGAGGCGGAGGCAGGAGAATCGCTTGAACCCGGGAGGCGGAGGTTGCAGTGAGCTTAGATGGCACCACTGCATTCCACATGGCAACAGAGTGAGACTCTGTATCAAAAAAAAAAGAAGGAAGGAAGGAAGGCAGGGAGGGAGGAAGGAAGGAAGGGATGGAGGGAAGGAGGGAGGGAGGGGTAAAATTAGAAAAATAAATTAATTAAGTAAAATAACTGAATTCAAAAGGACTGGATCCCACGGAAATCCAAAACAAAGAGACAAGCAACAATATGAAGGAGTTTTGCTTTTCTTGTGTTTCCAGATCACCTTAATTAAATGTTCCAGGGTTCAAGTGTTTTCAATGGGGTTAGCTTTCTGCTGGATTATTTTTTCTAAACCTCTTGTTAAATGATTCCTTCATAATCATACCAATAGGTATCCCTCATGTTGACTGGAAATTTTAATAATTAGTAACTTGTTGATGAGGTAATGAATCCAAGCTGAGAAAGGCGTAAGAGAAAAACAATCATTACCCCCGTGCAATGCAAGAGCTTGTCCTGCTGGAAATATCAAGTGTTGCCCTGATGTGGGCTAATTACCAATTGCTCTGGACTGACTTAACAGCCTGCCACATTTTTGTTGTAACACCTGCAGTTTGTGCCAAGGAGAAGAAAGGTGTCACATTGCCAAGTGCTAGAGAAGTATTTGTTGAGGAGGATGGGCACAGCTTTTCAAAAATACTCATAAGCAAAATCATGATTCTCATTTATTTATTCAAGATACATTTATTGAAAACCTACCAAGGACCAGGCATTGTCCTAGGTGCTATGGTTTATGGTTATTTCAGGCATTTTCAGCCAACTCAAACAGGAGACTGATTGGATAGTTGCAGAGGGGACTAATTGGCTTTCAAAGAAAGAGACAGTTTATTCTTTGCTTTGCTATTAGGAAAAATAACTTCCATTGTATGTACTAGACTACAAAACTTTCTTCTGAATGGAATAGACAATAGCAATAGAAGACTATCATCATTAATTTAGTCACTGAATTAATTTAACCTGCATATGCAGTTTGGGAGGTGAAAAATACATGATGTCAAAGTATTCAATGGCATAAGCTAGAACTGCAAGAATCTGACAGATGCTCACTCAAAAACCTTCTGATACAATCTGTTTATAAACAAAACTGAAACACCAGAAACAATCTTACTAAAAAACCCATAGTTACAGCCCTAAAATGCATCAGAGTGACTCCAACGAAATTTGTTCTCATCCAGTGGGTTCCCAAACCGTTCCAACAATGATGATCGAAACAGTTAGGAGCCAGACCACAGGATTTTAATGGATTCAGCTGTTTCAGCCTTTGAAGCACCTAATTCTGAAAGCTGCTGCTGCTACTTCTGTTTCCTGCTACTTAGGGAGAGAACAGAGAACCAGAAAGACAAAGGAGTTTCCTCCCAGAACCCTACACCCAACTTCTGGAAGACAACACAAGAGCAGAATGAGAGGGAGGGCAAAGCTGTGTGGGATGCAAGGACAATTGGCTGAGGTGGGCTGTGGTTGCAGAGATAAGGCCTGGTCATAGAGTCAAAGCTGAGCTCACAAGCAGTGCCAGGTCTCCTGTGTTATCCCAGAGCTTCCCAGTTGAATCCTCCCAAGGACCGAGTCCACCTCCTACCTTATCTATTACTGCCCTGGTTAGGTTGAGAATACAGAAAACAGGGCTGGGGGTGGGGGGAGTGGGGTTGTGTGCCAGTCTCTCAATCCTTTGTAAATGGAGGAAGAAAATAAGGACTGTCGGATATGATTTTTGTACCCCAGACCCTCCCTGTCAATCTCACAACAAACAGGCCACAAATGAACAAAATCTTGAGGAAATCACCTGCGCTGCCCTATCTTCTCTTCTTTGTGGTGCTCTTCCTATTTCAAAGTGCCCCCATCAGCTACCTTTCTTTACTCTTGTTATTAAATTAAAGGTTTTGATTTTAATGTGCTGGGTATTGGAAAGTCAGGCTGTGTTAGAGACTGCAGGTTTTACCTTGATACCTGTTTTTTCTCCTTACAGGAAATGGAATTCCCCCAGGGAAAACTCGGAACAAGACTACATCTCCCAGTTCCCCTTGCACTCCCTGTGGCCATGTGACTAGGTTCTAGCCAATGGTAAATAAGCGGCAAGGGCGTGGGAGTGCAGCATCTCTAGAGGGAGTGGATGCACCCGTCCTCCCTGCCTTCCTCCTTCCTGGCGACGGTGTGGAAAGTGGTCCTGATGGCTGGAACGCGAACACCAGCGTGGACCCAGAAATGGAAACCGCGTGTCGAAGTTGGTGAAGCAACAAGACAGAAGGAACCTGGGTCCCTGCGGATGGTGGAGCTGCCCTGGTCACTCAGACGTAACTGATGAGAGGGCCAAATGTACGCTTCTCTTGTTCAAGCCTTTGTTACTTTGGGTTTCTGTCATTCGGACTTAATCCTAAGCGATGTAAAAGCTGCCACTCGCTTTCAGTTAAAATAATAACTGAGACTGAGCGCTTATTCTGTGATTATTGAGGACTTTTAGGTTTCTTAACTCATTTAATACAACAACTCTATGAAGAAGTACTGTTATTTATCCCTATTTTGTGGATAAGGAAACTGAAGCACAATGATATTACATAACTTGCTTAAGGTCACACAGCTGATAAATGGCAGTCAGAACTTGAATCCAGGCAGTATAACTCAAAGTTTGTACAGTCTTCTCTTCTACAGTAGAGTTTGCCGTCTACAGCGGGATGGCCAAATCCAGCCTGCTGCCTCTTTTTGTAAATAAAGTTATATTGGAACACAGCACATTCATTCATGGATTGTCTATGGCTGCTTTCACCCTGTAATGGCAGAGTTGGGGTGTTTTAACAGAGACCATATGGCTCCTGAATCTATAATATCGACTAGCCATCCCTTTACAGAAGAAGTTTGCTGACCCTTGTTCCACAATATACTGCTTCTAAACCTGTTGTGGCAATATATAAATTTATATAAAAGGTGAACTAGGGGTGATTATTTTGGAAAATAGTTGACAAATCTTAAGTAAAAACAATTTTTTTTTTTTTTTTTGAGACGGAGTCTCGCTTTGTGGCCCAGGCCAGAGTGCAGTGGCGCTATCTCGGCTCACTGCAAGCTCCATCTCCTGGGTTCACGCCATTCTCCTACCTCAGCCTCCCGGGTAGCTGGGACTACAGGCGCCCGCCACCACGCCCCACTAATTTTTTGTATTTTTAGTAGAGATGGGGTTTCACCAAACAAAATTTTTGAGAGCCTCTTTTGTACGAGGTACATCATTAGGCCCTTTTCATAATTATTTTGTTTATTCTTTACAATTGGCCTATAAAGTAAATGTTCTTATCCCCATTTTGAGGATGAGGAAATTGAGACCCAGAGAAGTAAGTAAATTGCCCACAGTGATACAGCTATTAAATGCCCAAGTGAGAATTTGAACCCAGGATTTCTGATTCCAATCCTATAGCCTCCATCCACTATATCATGCCACCTAATTAAAAGCATTTAACATACAACTTAATTTACAGAAAAATGGGCTTTTCCAGGAAAACAAAGCACAGTTGTATGTTGTGAACCTTTCGACAAAACTTTATGTCGCAAAATTTAGTGAAGGATTATTTAAATCTGTATTATAAGGGATGATTCCACCACCCTATAATATTTAGTGGGTTTTGGTCTAACATTCCCCTACCTAGAAGTGCTGGGAAAACTAGTTCTAGAACATCTTTTTAGAATTTTGATTTTTCTGAGTTGTAAAAGAAGTTAACCGTCTTCAGAATTGTGCTTCAAGTATAAGAGATTTTGAATGAGAATAATGAAATATGGGAATCTTTCTAGACAAGCCAATGCAGACATAGTTCACTGTTGATGCCTTAGCTCAATGATTTATGATCCTGTAGCTGGACAGTGACTTTCATCTTCTAAGGTTCATAAACTGCTAAAAGAACCTCCAGGCTTTTTCCCTTGAAAAAAATTAATATCCATATTTAAATAGTTTTTCAGACCCTTGAAAGCTTATTGACAACATATGGGTGTCCCTAGACCCCCAAATTAAGAGCTTCTGATTTATCTCTAGTATCTTCTCTCTGTTATTACTAACAATATAACTTTGGACAAGTTACTTAACCTTGCTAATCATCAATTTCTTCATCTGTATAGTAGGAATAATAATATTCAAAGATTGTTATGAAGACTGAGATAGCCACACAAAGTGCTGAGTATGTACTTGTTGGATAATAAGCATTCGATAATATTAGCTCTGATTATTAGAGTTGGTTTATGTTTCCTAACTTTGTAATGTTCAAACAAAAGGCTCAATTCCAGTTGATGAAGATTCATTGAACACTGCTTATATCCAGCACTGTGCTGGGATTTGCAGGGGATATTAAGGTCTCATGAAAACACGGGTCATTCAGTTATGCTACAGAATTTATAGCTTAAGAATATGTAAGGAGTTGGTAATTTATAAAAATGATAATTAGCTATTAGTGAAATCTACTTTATTTTTGAATTCAAATATTTATACAAATTTAATTTATATCATATATTTATAATATTATAGAATATTTCCCATATTCTCAGAATTCGTAATGATGATATTAATGACCAATGTTGATGTAACCTATACAGTCTTGGGTTGGAAATTATGACATAATGATGCCCTGAGCTTTTCTGAGCTGCTGCTGCTTGGGAGTGTGTATTGGTCAGGGTTCTCCAGGAGACAGAAAAAATATATACGTACTATATATGTGTATGCATATACACACAAATACACACACACACACACACATATACACAGAGAGAGGGGTGGGGGGGAGAGAGAGAGAGAGAGAAAGAGAGATTGAGTTATTATAAGGAATTGGCTTGTGTGATTACAGAGGCTAAATCTCAAGATCCTCAGGGTGAGTTGGCAAGCTGGAGACCCAGGAGAGCTGATGGCGTAACTCCAGTTTGAGTCCAAAGGCCAGAGAACCAGGAGCCAATGGTGTAGTTGCAGTTCAAAGACTGGTAGACTTGAGACCCAGGAAGAGCCTATGGTTTCAGTTTGAATCTGAAGGCAGGAAAAAAATTGTTGTTCCATTTCCAAGGCAGTCAGGCAGAAGGAATTCTCTTACTCAGGGGAGGGTCAGCCTTTTTTTTCTAGTAAGACCTTCAACTGAATGAGGCTCAATCGCATCAGGGTGGGCAATCTGCTTTCCTCAGTGTACTGATTCAGATGTTATTATCACCCAGAAACACCATCACAGACACACCCAGAATAATACTTGACCAAATATCTGGGCACCCTGTAGCCCAAATTGATACACGGGTTGGGGATAGGTCATGATGTTTCATGGGAAGCATCAGAATGTCCACGGTTTTATGGAATGGGGATCATTTATTAGACTAAAGCAAGTGGAGATAGTTCTAGCACCTCTCTGTTATAGCGTGCAGAGCTCAGGTTAGAGACACAGAGAGCTGTAAACTCAGTAGGCACAGTCTTATATCAATGTTTTGTAGTTTTCAGGGTCAAAGTCTTTGCACATCTTTTGTTAAATTTATCCCAAAGTATTTCATGTTTTTTATTGTGATTTTAAATGAAATTTAAAAATTTATTGTCTTATAGTTTGCTGCTAGTATATAAAAATGCAATTGATTGTTACATATTGACCTTGTATCCTGAGACCTTGCTAAAATCTTTAATGAGTTCTAATAATTTTTGTTGTGTTGATTGTTTAGGATTTTCTATATATACGATCTGTTATCTACAAATAGGAACCATTCCACTTTCCTTTTCCCAATCTGTTTGTCTTTTATTTCCTTTTCTTGCCTTATTACACTTGCCTTATCATTTTACTGCACCTTGGGTTAGTCAGATGCTCCAAGAAGTAGATGCAAAGATAGAATTAAACATGCAAGGATCGGCCAGGCATGGTGGCTCATGCCTATAATCCTAGCACTTTGAGAAGCTGAGGTGGGAGGATCATTTGATCCCAGGAGTTCAAGACTAGTCTGGGCAACATAGCAAAACCCGGTCTCTATCAAACAATTTTAAAAAAAATTTAGCCAGATGTAGTGGCAAGTGCCTGTAATCCCAGCTACTCGGGAGGCTGAGGCAGGAGGATCACCTGAGCCCAGGAGATCAAGGCTACAGTGAGCTATGATTGTGCCACCGCACTCCAGCCTGGCTGACAGACTGAGACCCTGTCTGTCTCTTAAAAAAACAAGGATTTTATTGTGGAAAATGCCTGTAGGATACAAAATGCAGAGGGATTCCCACAAGCTGGAGGAGCCATCAGATACTGATGTGAGAAAGTAAAGGAGAAAGGGAAGGACGAGTAGGTGGAAGCATTCTAGACTGCTATGCTGCATGAGGAATATTTGCAAGGAATATCACTAAGCCAGAGTCCTGTGACTCCAGTCAATTTCAGAGTTCAATGGCTGGGGCCCTTGGTCAATTACATTCTCTTTAGTAGCAGGTGTACAAAGTGTATTCTCATGACCACCACAGATCTCCAGTACAATGTTTAACAGAAATGGTGAGAATGGCCATCTCTACATTTTTCCTGATCTTATGGGGCAAGTGTTCAGTAAATCACCATTAAGTATGATGTAGGCTGTAGGTTTTCAATAGATCTCTTTATCAGTTCTATTCCTAGATTACTGAAATTTTTAAAATTTCATGAATGAGTGTTGATTTTTGTTGAATGGTTTTTCTGCATCTGTGAAATGATCATGTGGTTTTTATCCTTTATTCTGTTAATATAGTTGGTTACATTGCTGATTTTTGAATGTTAAACCAACCTTACAATCCTGGAATAAACCCCACTTGGTCGTGATCTATTATTTCTTTTTTATTGTTGGATTTGGTTTGCTAATATCTTGTTAAGGACTTTATTCATAAGGTATTTTGGTTTATCATTTTCTTTTTTTCTAATAATGTCTCTGACAGGTTTTGGTATCAGGGCTAGGATAGCCACATAGAATGAATTGAGAAATATGCTTTTCTTTTCTTTTTTTTTTTTTCGAGATGGAGTCTTGCTCTGTCAGCCAGGCTGGAGTGCAGTGGTGCGATCTCGGCTCACTGAAACCTCCGCCTCCCAGGTTCAAGCAATTCTCCTGCCTCGGCCTCCCAAGTAGCTGGGATTACAGGCACCCGCCACCACACCCGGCTAATTTTTGTATTTGTAGTAGAGACAGGGTTTCACCATGTTGGCCAGGCTGGTTTCAAACTCCTGACCTCGTGATCTGCCCGCCTCGGCCTCCCAAAGTGTTGGGATTACAGATGTGAGCCACCACGTCTGGCCTTTGCTTTTCTTTTCTATTTCCTAAGAGTTGGGTAAGATGGGTATCATTTCTTCCTTAAATGTTTAATATGTTCCTTAAATGTTCACTATGGTATATTTCTTTCTTAAGTGTTTAATTTGCCAGAGAAACAGCGTAGGAAAGTTTTTGAGTGTGAATTTGATTTCTTTGGTAGATATAAAGATATTCAGATTTTTAAAATTTCATCTGTGTTAGTTTTTGTAAGCTGTATTTTTCAAGGCATCTATTAATTTCATTTAAGTTGTTAAATTTATTGACATAAAGCTGTTGATAATATTTCCAGCTGGGCTTGGTGGCTCATGCATGTAATCCCAGCACTTTGGGAGGCCAAGGCAGGAGGATCACCTGAGGTCAGGAGTTTGAGACCAGCCTGGCCAACATGGTGAAACCCCATCTCTACTAAAAATACAAAAATTAGCTGGGTGTGGTGGTACACATCTGTAATCCCAGCTACTCGGGAGGCTGAGGCAGGAGAATCGCTTGAGCCTGGGAGGCAGAGTTTGCAGTGAGCCAAGATTGCATCACTGCACACCAGCCTGGGTGACAGAGTGAGACGCCATCTAAAAAAAAAAAAAAAAATTCCTTTTGATAACTATAAGGTCTGAAGTGATATCCCATACTCTCATTTATGATATTGAAAAATTATTTTTTCCCTTTATTTTTACTTGATCAGTCTTGTTAGGGTTTATTAATTTGATTAACCTTTTCAAAGAATCAAATTTGTCTTTAAATATTTCTCTATTTTTGTTTATTTTCTATTTCATTGAATTCTGACATTTCTTCTGCTTGCTTTGGGTTTATATTGCTCATTTTTTTTTAAAGATGGATACTTGGATAGTTGACTTTAAGCCTTTCTTTCTTTCTAATGTAAACATTTAAAGTTGTAATTTTTTTCTCTACTCATTTATGATCTATACATTTTGATATGTCATATTTTTATTATTGTTTGGTTTGAAGTATTTTCTAATTTATCTTGTGATTTCTTCTTTAAAAAGGAGGTATTGGCTGGGCACGGTGGCTCACGCCTGTAATCCCAGCACTCTGGGAAGCTGAGGCGGGTGGATCACGAGGTCAGGAGTTCAACACCAGCCTGGCCAAGATGGTGAAACCCTTTCTCTACAAAAAATACAAAAATTAGCCAGGCATGGTGGCGGGTGCCTGTAATCCCAGCTACTCAGGAGGCTGCGGCAGGAGAATTGCTTGAACCTGGGAGGCAGAGGTTGCAGTGAGCCAAGATTGAGCCACTGCACTCCAGCCTGGGTGACAGTGAGACTCTGTCACAAAAAAAAAAAAAAAAAAAAAAAGAAGGAGGTATTTAGAAAAATGTTTAATTTTTAAATATTTGATGCTTTTTTAGATATCTTATTGGTTTCTAATTTAATTCACTTGTGGACAGAGAACATACTTTAAAATGTTAGTCTTTCAAAATTTACTGAGATGTGTATGACAATGCTCCACCGTGGTTAATGTTTTATGTGCACTTGCTAAGAATGATTATTCTGCATTTGTTAGATGTGGTGTTTCATAAATATCTATGAAGTCAAAATGGTTGATAGTGTCATTCATAGCTTCCATTTTCTTGATAATAATGTTTTTTGTTCTAGTTGTTCTATCAGTTCCTGAGAGGCAGGTGTGAAAATCTCCAATCATGATTGGGGATCTTCTTCTTCTTCCTTTATCTCTGTCATTTTTTGCGGCAGGTAGTTTGAAGTACTGTATATTATTATTTCTTCCTGATGTATTGGACCTTTTGGAATTATAAAATCTTTCTCTTTCTCTTTAGTAATACTCCATCTCTTGCTATCTATTTTCTCCAAAAGTAATATAGCCACCCCAGTTTTCTTATGCTTATCATTTCCATAATAACATCTTTCATCTTTTTGCTTTTATCCTTTTTGTGTGTCTATATTTAAAATGCTTTTCTTGAAGACAGCATATAATTAGATCTTGCTTGTCTGATATGGTTTAAGTCTACTGGCTTCATATTTATTTCTTACTTTCTCATCTATTTTTATTTCCCCTATTTTCCCTTCTCTACCTTCTTTTTTTGTTGTTGTTTGTTTGAGATAGTCTCACTCTGTCGCCAGGCTGGACTGCAGTGCCGCGATCTTGGCTCACTGCAACCTCCGCCTCTGGGGTTTAGGTAGTTCTCTGCCTCAGCCTCCCGAATAGCTGGGATTACAGGCACATGCCACCACGCCCGGTTAATTTTTGTCTTTTTAGTAGAGACGGGGTTTCACCATCTTGGCCAGGCTGGTCTTGAACTCCTGACCTCATGATCCACCCGCCTTGGCCTCCCAAAGTGCTGGGATTACAGGCGTAAGCTGCTGCACCCAGCCCCTACCTTCTTTTACATAAAATCTTCTTAACATTTATAAAAATAACAACATCTAGTATTTTTGCCTCTTTGCGTTTTTTAGTAGTTACTGTAGTGATTACAATACACAACTTTATCACAATCCACTTAGAGGTAATATTGTACAGCTTGATATGCTTCATAAGAACCTTATAGCAGTAGAGTTCCATATGCTTCTGTTGGGGAGGATAACCTATCCTCTCCCTCCCCTCCTAGGTTCCCTATCTGGGGCTCTGGAAATTAAATTGACAGAGACATTAACAAGAGAAATTAACAAGAGAAAAACAGTTTATCAACAGGTCAGTGTGCATACGCACAGGAGAACTCAGTCATGAGTAACTCAAAGGAGTGGTTAGAACTTGGCCATATTTCTCACCTTAACAAAGAACAATAAAATTTTAGAGTAGTGACAAGACAAGAAAAAGGAGTTTCTGCTTTTCTGGGTGGCAAACTGTGAGAAGGTAGATATATGGGGGAAACTAACAGTAGATAGGGTTTTTTAGTAAGGTCTACATGCGGACCCATCTTGGTGCTGACTCTGTCCTCATGGCCACAAAACTCCCCTGGGAGGGGGGATTATTGCAGTCCTATTTTTCAGGATATTCTGTTTGTAGTCAGATAATGGAAGCTCCAAGGAGGCTTCTTTCTGCATCTGTTGATTCTCATTTGCCTTTAGCTCAAAATATCTTTATGCCAAAGTGGCATATTTTGGGGTGGCATACTCTGATGCCCTACACTGCACATATGCACACACACACACACACACACACACATACACTTTGTGATACTGTTGTTGTATATATTACATCTACCTCAAGCCAGTAAGGCTGATGTTTTCTGCCTATAAGGGGGACGGTGGTAAGGGAAGTTCTCTCAAGAAAAATAAAAAATAAAAGAAGCTATAAACTCCGAAATCTCATCTTCCAAGAATAAACTCCACTCCGGTTTCTACCTGCTTCTGCTCACTCCCTAGGTTTTTAAAATATTTTTCAAAAAATTGCCCTTATTATTTCAATTATTTCAGGCTTTAGTCTTACTAAGCTACTTAGTTATTACCAGAACTTAATCTCCACAATCATCCTTTTCCAGAGAATTTTGTAAGAACCAAGGCCTTCCTTCCATTGAAGTCAATTCGTAAACACTCACTACCTTGGGAAATTACATAAGCATAGACTGAGACCTCATATTAAGGGCATAATGCTGGAATCAAGCACTCTACCAGAGTACATGCCCCAACAGAGCAAATGTCCTAACAGAGCAGGTGGTCACATCACCCAGAAGCAGATCCAGCTCGGTGACGGAGGTGAAGGAGCCAGACGGCAGAGCCTGCTCTGTGTCTGCAATGGTTTCTCAAATGGGAGCTTGCAGGGATAGGTTGAACATGTGAAATTGCTGCTGTTGACTATTTTTTTTTTGACCTTGAAAAACATGAATGGTGTAAGTTCAACCAAATATTCTGCTACTGAGTGTGAGGTTCAATCCTTCTCAAACATTTTCTCATCTTCACAAAGTCCTAGAGTTAAAGAAACACTCTCTATATTGTTACATATAGGCACATGGGATGGACACTACCTGACTATTAGGGTCACAACTGTAGAAGGCAGGACTAGGTGAGCAGTCCCATTTGAAGACTTCTGCCTCAATGAGGAGCATTACATAATTTGGGTGCAGAATTGCATGTCATACATTAACACCAAGAACAAGTTTGTGCTTCCTTGAAGGTACACATTATGCTTCTTCTAAATGTCATCGTCCTGAGAGGTTGCTACACAACACTGTGGACCCCTAGGTTTGCCAGATTTTGCAAAAAATTGAAAGAAAGAAGAAAGAAGGAAGGAAAGAGAGAGAGAGAGAAAGAAAGAAAGAAAGAAAGAAAGAAACAGAAAAGAAGGTCCAGTTAAATTTGAATTTCAGATAAATGATGAATAATTGTTTGAATAATTATGATTCATGCAATAGTAGTAAGAGAAGCAAGACATCCTTCTACTAAAATATTATTTATTGTTTATCTTAAATTCAAATTTAACAGAGAGTCCTGGAAAATTTAACTGACAACTCTATGATATCCATTCAGTGCTGCTGAAAAGGAGAGAATTCTGGTCCTGGAAGGCTACATTCTAGGGAAATGGGCCTGTAGTTGGGATGTTCAGAATTCTGTCCCTAGGAGGATGGAGGCACACCCAACCAGAGGCCAAATCACAGGCCACGCCAAGAGTCACCCCTGGACGCTCAGAAGGAAAATCTTCCTTTTGTGAGCTCCTAAAAATAAATGTAGCTTTATCAGGAGCATTACATGTGAGTGTGCTCTATAATTATTTATCCACTAATTGCCACAACATCCTGTTGAGGTTAGTAAATGTTTTTACCACCCTCATTTTGCAATGAAGTAAGCAGGGACGGAGCAGGAGGCTTACTCACCAGGCAGCCCAGCGAACTAGGAGAGGGTGGAGGAGAGAGCCAGGCAGGAGAGCCAGGCGGGACCTTGGGGTCCTGTCACCAGAGGTCTGCAGGCTGGCTGGCCTCAGAGCCGGCCCTTGGAATGTCATAGCCCAAATAAAACTCAGAGAAGGGGAATAAAGAAGATTCTCTGAAACTCATGAAAACTACACATTCCGAACAGCCCCATTGTTAGTAAACGAAATAGACTAGAACAAATATTTGCACAAAGGAAACTATTGAAGACAGACTTTTTTTTCCCCAAAGGAGAGAATAGCTTACTCACCCTTTGTTTCTCCCCCGAGCAATGGAGACTTTTCTTGTCAGTGCCTGGAAAAAGAAGATGATAAGACAAGCAAACTCATTACATTCTAGAATAATAACAACAGTGGATATTAATCAAATATCTGTTACATCAGGTACTTCACATATTGGATTGAATTTAATCTTCACGGGAAGTCTCTGTGTACTGACTGTACCCATTTTGCCAGTAGGAAAGATTAAACTCAGAGCACAAGAGACTGACAGAGATCTTAACACTTCTTTCAAGTGGTGGAGGTGAGACTCCAACCCAGGCCCTGCGACTCGAACACATACAGTTGTCTGCGTAGACCCTTCCCCACCACCCAGGAAAAAACCAGAACATCCAAATCTAATTACATTATTTGTCTTTTAAAATGACATTTACATTAACTTTTTGTCTTTTTCATTAATTCCAAAGCAATTGCAGGGAAGGTCCATGCTTCAAGACGGCCACCAACAGCGTCTTGCCAAGGCTCTTAGGTCCGTAGTAATACTTCCAAACACATTATCCTGGTGGCTCTCCCAATGATACCATGAGGAGGCTCAGGAAGGCATCATTATCTTCCTTTGGGAGAAGAGGAAACTGAGTCACAGAAAGACTAAGGGATTTGCCTAAGGCCAGGCAGTACCAGAAATTGGACCTGAACACATCTGCTGGCTCTTTCCCTTGTCCTTGTTGAAAGCTTGAGGAATTACAGCAATTGTCTCCAATGTGCAATCTGAGTAACACACATACACATTTTTTTCTCACATATATTTTCCACCCCTTGTCCCATGACTGGCAGCTGGAAACAGGACTCTCCTGCTAATTCACTTCCAGGGTTCCCTTATTCTAGTAACTCCTAGACAGGGATTGTGACAGGGAAGCCTTCACCACGTGGTTCTGACCTACCTGTCCAGCTCATCGGCTGCCCTCCCGGCAGGAGGCTGTCATTCAGGCCAGACAGGTGATGTTGATCCTCTACAACATACTCATACTCATACTCAACATACTCATAGCACTCGCATCACATTTTTGCTCCCTGTTTCCACCTAGGAGCCTGTGCAGTGCAGTGGACTGGTTCTTAAGCCAGATTGCTTTTGCATCAGTTGGACCTGGGTAAAAATTCTCTCCTTACCACCATCCAACTGTGTGACTTTGAAAAAGTCATGTTACATCTTCAGAATCCATTTTCTAATAGATTGCAGACAATGGGGGATTAGAGATCATGTATTCAAAGCATCCAGCACAGTGTCTAACGCAGAGTAGATGATCAAGAAATGGTTCTTATGATGATAACATGTCCTTATCCTCATTTCTATCTAACTCCTAACCATTCTTCAAGATTTACTACTCCCTCACCTCACTCAAGGTAATTCTCTCTTCCCTGGATTTGACATGAATTTCACCTGTGTGGCATCTAGTTCTTGCTCTCTCAGTTTTTTCATGAATATAAGAAATATTCATTAGGAAGTGCTGTGGGTTGAATTTTGCCTTCCCAAAAGATACTTGGAAATAAGGTATTTGCAGATGTAATCAAATTAAGATGAAGTCATACTGAATTGGGGTAGGTCCTAATCCAGTAACTGGTGTCCTTATACTGAAAGGTGGCAATTTGGGCACGAATAGATTCACAGTGATGATGGAGGCAGAGACTGAAGTAATGCAGCTTGAAGACCAGAAAGGCTAAGGATTGCTGGCAGCCACCCGAAGCTGGGATGAGGCAAGAAGGGACCCTCCCGTAGCGCCCCCTGAGAGAACATGGTCATGCTGACACCTTGGTTTTGAGGTTTTGAGTTCCTAGCCTCTAGAACTGGGAAACAATACATTTCTATTGTTTTAAGCCTCTGGTTTGCTGTTATTTGTTATGGCAGTAATAGGAAATCAATACAAAAAAAATCTGATCTAACTCCCAATTGGGTAATAGGCTCATTGACAATGGTGAGGACGGGCCTCTTTACCTGTGGTCAGTGCTCAGCATAGCTCTAAACGTTGGAGAAGCCTGTGAATAAACCTGACTGCTGAGAGCAGCTGCATACGGAGCACCACTTAGCTGTTCCTACCACTCCAGAGGCTGCCGTGACAGCTAATCCCACTGCAGGTGCAGCAGCAGTGCCTTTCAAGTCCTTTAGGCTCAACCTGCTGGCAACAGCACCAGCAGGAGGAATTCACTGGATGGTTTGCCATTCCCCATTTTAGCAGTAAAGTAATTCCTAAAATGGGGAGAGAAAGCATGATGATAAATACTGCAACTTGACCCTTCAGAAATTGATGATTTCATCAGACAAGGGCGCCACTGTATAGTTATTCCAGTGTTAAAGACAGGCATCACCGAAACAACAGAAAACACAGTTAAAAGAGCAATATGTCTTCTGTTAATGATGGGATGACTGTTTAAAAGAGGCCTCATTTTATATGCGTTCATTCATTCATCATTCACTTTGATACTTGTTGAGAATTTACTGACTGCTTTTGCCTTTTTTTTTTTTTTTAAATGGAGTCTCGCTCTGTCTCCCAGGCCAGAGTGCAGTGGCGTGATCTCTGCTCACTGAAAGCTCCACCTCCCAGGTTCACACCATTCTCCTGCCTCAGCCTCCCAAGTAGCTGGGACTACAGGCACCCGCCACTGCGCCTGGCTAATTTTTTGTATTTTTTAGTAGAGACGGGGTTTCACCGTGGTCTTGATCTCCTGACCTCGTGATCCACCCGCCTTGGCCTCCCAAAGTGCTGGGATTACAGGCGTGAGCCACCATACCCGGCTGCTTTTGCCTCCTTTAAAGGTCATTATGTAACAGAACTTGAAGGAAAGTCACTGGCTTGGCAATTTGAATTTTCAGTGGGGAGGGACACTAATATTTGTTGGGTGCTTGCACTGAGACACTTTATAGGAATTTTAATATCTGATTTCGGTTAATGCCCTTGATCATCCCATAATGTAATTATTTTAATTTCCCTTCTGCAGATAAAGAGTGGATTCCTCGGAGAAGTGAAGGATTTGTCTCAGGCACATAGCCCGTAAATATCATACCTGAGATTCTAATCCGGCTCCACTGCATCTCAATGTCTTTGCTTTCGCAGTAACTCCACCATCCTTCATCCACCAGAGACCAGGCCTCCTGTAGCAAACAAACCTACGGGAGCCAAGCCACATCCTAAGAGGCCCATGGGACCTGGGGCCACCCCACGCCACCAGGAACCATCACCAGGCTCTTTGCTTTCTACTTTCTTTCCATCTCTCAGCCTCCTTCTGTCCTCATTTGCTTCTCTTGAGGTGGGTGGATGTTGTTTCTTTCTGGTGCCTGCTTCTAGTAGCAACATTCTCTTTCTTCAAGATGTGATGGGAGAGTTTCTTCCCCACTGAAAACTTAAGGACCTGTGGGCTGCACCCCTGAGTGTCCACCTTCCTAGCCTGGAGTAATCATGTGAGCCAGGCCAGGCCCAACAGAATCTTCCCCCAGGATTTTTTTTCCATAATGGGAGAGAGAACGTGTCATTTCTCTGTGGCTGTTGTCCTGGGGTGATACAAGTGGGAGTTCTTGTGACCATGGCCTCCTCTCATTCTGCCCATGGAGGAACCTCAGGCTGGATGGTGGAATGAGAATTGAGAGGCCCAATGATGCCATCTGAGCCCCTAGCTCCTGTCGCCCCTGTGCTTCCCAATTATTAGCAGTTAAATTCCCTTTTAATTTGTACTAGTATGGGTTGGCGTCTATTATTCAAAATCAAGGGTCCCTATTCACAAATCCAGCTACATTCCATGGGCTGGTTTTTCAATTTCCCTCTTGTCAAAACTTGAATTCCAGTTTCCATTTTCCTTCTGTTCATCCACTTAGAAGAATCTTAACTCTGGCTAAATGTATCTTCTCTGTCTGCACACCTGGGTGCTGAGTTCATCTGGGGCAGACAATGTCACCGCCAAACCATGGTCCCCAACCTCCCTCATTCCATCCTCTCTTCCATTCCCAGTAGCAGCTACTTAGAACTGTCTCCACACTCCTCAAACATGACTCTCCACCTTTCTCCTCCTTTTCAGCAAGTGATCTTGTCTCCTACTCAGTAGAGAAAATAGAAAGCATGGGAGGACAAGTCTTCCCCATCTCTCCCCACCTTGCCCTTTTATAATAGTGCTGGTGGCAAATTTATGAAAACAGAAGGTGGCTACTGTTTGAAGCAATTGTTCTAAGAAGGAGTGCAGAATTTCTCTTGGAGAGGGACTGCTCTTTACTTTCAGAAAATGTCTTGGCTTTTCAAGTGTAAAAAGCAATTGGGGGAAAAATGGAGGTAACTGCTGGGGCACTGTAAAGTCAGTCAATGGTAGGACATGAGGGGTGTTGGCCACCGGAGTGGAGGTACCAAGGGAAAATGGGCCAAGCCTCCTGGCATACGACTGGCCTGGAGGAGAAAGATCCGGTTTCTTTCTCTGAAAGAAAACTGGAGTGGGTCCTGATTTTTTAAAAACTTTCAAGGCTCCCAGCAAGAGCCAGCCTGCTGCTTAAGTTTTTTTTTTTTTTTGAGAGACAGAGTCTCCTCTGTCACCCAGGCTGGAGTGTGGTGGTGCGATCTCGGCTCACTGTAACCTCCACCTCCCAGGTTCAAGCAATTCTCCTGCTTCAGCTTCCCAAGTGGCTGGGACTATAGGTGTGTGCCACCACGCCCAGCTAATTTTGTATTTTTAGTGGAGATTGGGTTTCACTATATGTTGGCCAGGCTGGTCTCAAACTCTTGACCTCAGGTGATCCACCCATCTCGGCCTCCCAAAGTACTGGGATTACAGGTGTGAGCCACTGCACCTGGCCCCTGCTAAAGTCTTTGCATGGCGTTTGTGTTGATCAGCAACACAGCCGGCCCTGGGAAACTGAACTGTCTTCCCCATTGTTTACCCACTGCCATAGGAAAGAGCCACTGAGGACTTCCCTGAGACTGGGATAGCACGAGACAGAGGTGCTGTGCCTCATCACTGCACTGTGACCACTGGCCTTGCATTCACGGGACTAGGGGGAATTAAAAGACAGGCCTCACACCTGCTTTGGACAGACAGTGGGAAGAAGTGTGATCCCTCTCTCCCTCTCCCCAGGCCATCGGGGAGGGTGGAGCACATTTCAGAAGATGAGGTTTGTCCTGGGTCTCAAGGGAGATGAGCAGCGAAGAGAGCAGAAAGCACAGCAGATGTGAAGGCTTCGGAGGTGAGGGGTTGCAGCATGGACCAATGCAAGAGGAAATGTGATCCGGCGCTCCTCCCAGCTTTCCCCCAAGTATGCCAGAGGAAGGAGACCCCGGCAGGTGTGCAGAGACCTGTCTGTTGCAGACGGGGCCATTCCTAAGGCAGACACGTGGGTCGATGACCGCAGGGCCTTCCTCCCCCTATCTGAGGCAGATCGCCCCATCTGTGCTCTGCCCCTCACCCTCCACTTCACCTTGGAAGCCCCCCTCCTTATCTTCAACCTCCTCCTCTCTACGGCTTCCTCCCACCAGTGTGGAACCCACTCATGCTCACATCTGTTCCACTTACAAAGATGCTTTCTCTCCTGGGCATCCCCTCCAGCTGTAGCCTCTCACTTCTAGCCCAACTCTCACCTTCCCTCCCACATCCCTCCTCCACTACCCCACCTCCTCCACTCCCCCACCTCCTCCACTCCTCCACCTCCTCCACTCCCCTGGAAAGTCTCTTTCCCAATCCCTTCCTCACTGCCAAGCCCAGTGCAGCTTGGCTGGCCTTTCCATTGGGTCCTCTCCCTCTGGGCTGCGTCTGCCTCTTTCTCTCTGACCCTATCCCTTTGCGGTCCCCTGGGCAGGCTCCTCTGCCCTTGTGCACCTTCATCTCAAGTTGGCTCTCGTCTGTTCAGTCCAGACGCTTTCTTCATGGGATCTCAGGGTCTGTGCAGACTTCCAGTTCTCCAAACTCCAGAGAGGGTGTCCAGGAATATCAAATTGTTCACTCGCAGTTTCTCCAATTAATCGTGCCATAGCACCTCACCTTTAACACGTGCACAGGCGACCTCATCACCTCCGCTGGAGCCTGCTCTCTGCTCCTGCTCAAAAACAACACTTTGGCTCCCCATACTCTGACATCCTTCACCTCTTAACGTCCTCCCTCCTCCAATCCAACTCAGCACCTTATCCTGCCATCAAGTGCATGTACTGGAAATCTAGACGCTGCTCAGACTGTCCCATCCCAGTTGCCTCCTCCCTGATCTTGGGGATTGATCATCTCTTCCCTGGACGGCAGCCAAAGCTCCCTAACTGACATCCTTGCAATGCATTTTGCCCCTTTCAGTTTTGCTTTTCACATGTTAAGTCTTCTGACATGCAAATGTCTCCTTATATTGCTGCTGCCCTTTAAACCGTTCCATGGCTTCTCATCGCCCTCAGGAAAACTTACGCTGAACCTCTTACTTGTGCACAAGGCCCTACTTGTTCTGGCTCCTGCCGAGGTCGCCTGGCTCACCTGCTACCTACCTCCACCCCCACTGCAGACTTCTTCCACGTGCCTCTGGACATGTGACCTCTGCACCTCGGCTGCCTCTGTGCAGTGGGCTGGGACCCGTCCACTGTGTCCACAGTGTAGCTGGGGCCTAGCACCCTGGCTGCAGTCAAGGAGGGACCCAGTCAGTATTTGAGGTGAATGAATATTCTTTCCTGATCAATTTGTGTTGTTTTCTTCTTGACTTTTACTTAATTAAAAAAAATACGATTAAGGGAAGCATGACATGAGAAAGGATTGTAGGTGTCTTCTCTTAGGAGAGTAAACATGAAACAATGGAGGCTGAATGTGTTTAGAGGATAAATATGCTCACCAGTATCTCAGCTGGAATTGCCTTAGTGACGACATCATCACTTTCCCTCAGATGTGGATGTCGAGTTTGTAATACCAAGAACCGTTGGGAGAAGCTCCCGTCGTCTGCTTTCTCGTCTCTCCCCACCATTCTCCCTGGGTGGCCTTATCCGTGTCCAGCTCCAGCTCACCCCTTATTCCCCCATGATCTCCATTTCCAGCCCAGATTATTTCCTAAGCTCCACGCTCTAGTGGCCTCCACGTGTTTCCACCCAAAGATTTCCCATATTGAGGCTCCTTACTTGGGCTCAATGTGCCTTAACCTAGTTTTCTTAACCTCACACTTTCTTAACCTCACACTTCTGTATTTTCCTATCTCAGGGAAGGTCCCTGGACTAGTTTCCTGGGCTGCCATAACAAACTACCACAAAGCAGGTGGCTTTAAAACAGCAGAAATGTATTCTCCCCCAGTTCTGAAGGCTGGAAGTCCAAAACCAAGGCGGCGTTGTGGCCATGCTCTCCCCAGAGGCTCTGGGGAAGGATTCGTCCTCACCTCGTCTGTTTCAGGCGCTGCCAGCGGGCTGTGCTGGTCCTTAGCCTGCGGATGCATCACCCCACTCTCTGCCTCCCTTTTCACTTGGCCTTCATCCCTGTGTTTGGCCCCCATTTTCTTTTCTTCTAGGGATGCCAATCATTGGACCTAGGGCCCACTTGGGGTCTATTCCAGCAAGACTTCATCTTAATTCGATGATATCTGCAAAGGCCGGCCCTATTTTCAAATAAGGTCACAGGTACTGGGCATTAGGACTTGAACATATCTTTTGGGGGACACAGTCCTACCTGCTGGGAGTCCCACTGCCTCCTTCACCCCAGAAATCCTTGACCCATCCCTGTCCTCTCCTTCACACTCCACATCTAGGCTGTTTATCCTATTTTTAAAATAGCTTTCATGTTTTCTCTGTCCTCCACTCCACTGTCTTAGTTCCAGCCCTAATCAAGCTAGATGACCATGACAGCACCCCTACTCTTCCTCTTTGCCCTTTTGAGTCCCCCCAACCCATCCTTCAGCCAGCATCCTGGTTCTTAAAATTTGGCTGCCGGGCCGGGTGCAGTGCCTCACGCCGGTAATCCCAGAACTTTGGGAGGCCAAAGCAGGCGGATCACTTGAGGTCAGGAGTTCGAGACCAGCCTGGCCAACGTGGTGAAACCTCTCTCTACTAAAAATACAAAAATTAGCTGGGAATGGTGGTGGGTGCCTGTAATCCCAGCTACTCCAGTGGGTGAGGCAGGAGAATGGCTTGAGCCTGGGAGGCGGAGTTTGCAGTGAGCCGAGATGATGCCACTGTACTCCAGCCTGGGTGACAGAGTGAGACTCCATCTTAAAAAAAAAAAAAATTGCCTACCAGCCAGCCCACTCTGGATATGTCCCTGGCAGCTCCTCCTGCGTGCATCTTGGGCGACACTATCTCATTGACTCATTCTCCACCATCCTTTCCACCTCGATTCCTCTTCTCTTCTGAGAATCAAAACCAGTTCCTACCATCTCTGAACATTTAACTGCCTGTTAGCAGCTATACTATTTTTAAAAATACAAGTTATTGAATAATTACGACATATATATTATAAATGTAAAGTAGATATTACATCCATTTGTGTGTGGGGAAACTGAGGTTCCCGTGGGTTAAGCAACTTGCTGAAGAGGGAGCTGATGTTTGAACCTAAAACTCTATGGCTTTAAAGCTCTTCCTATTAACTGTATTACTAGGCTTCAGAAGATTTAGCCTTGTAAATATCTGGAAGAGCTTGCCAAGTTTCCTGTTCTTATAATTTTTAGTATTTTATAGACACTGTCTGCTGTAAGTGAATATAAAACACCTAAAGAAATTCATGACGATGATCCATACCTCAGTCATAAATGACCCATACCTCAGTCATAAATCCATACCTTAGTCATAAATGACTAAGTTATTCTTAGTCATTTATTTTCTTATTTCATAGTGAACTAATAACTATTTGGTTCAGAGCCTACAGGCCTATCATATTTTGCATAGCAATCCTGGTGAATTTATAGACAGTTGCCTGAATAATGAGCTTATTGTGTTACATCTTAAGTTTTGGTAAAGCCTTCTCTCTTTTTTTCTCCTTGAAATAAATATAAGCATAGGTATATTCACAAATTGTCTTTTAAACCTTTACAACAATAATTTTATTTTCAGTGCAAATTTTGTTTAGCATGAGACTCAGGCATCCTATGAAATTCTTAGCCAAATAAAATAATAAATCTTTTTTTTTTTTTTTGAGAAGGAGTCTCGCTCTGTCACCCAGGCTGGAGTACAGTGGCGCGATCTCGGCTCACTGCAAGCTCTGCCTCCCAGGTTCATGCCATTCTCCTGCCTCAGCCTCCCAAGTAGCTGGGACTTAAAGGCGCCTGCCACCATGTCTGGCTAATTTTTTGTATTATTATTATTTTTTTTTAGTAGAGACGGGGTTTCACCGTGTTAGCCAGGGTGGTCTCGATCTCCTGACCTCGTGATCTGCCCGCCTTGGCCTCCCAAAGTGCTGGGATTACAAGCGTGAGCCACCGCACCCGGCCAATAAATCATTTTTAAAAAGTATTTTCTGGCAAATAGCTTACCCATTTGGTGTTGGCTTGAACTTGTGGAATTTCTTTAGTTTGACTTATTAAAGTAAATGAAACTTGGGTGAGGAAAATTCCTGTTTTACTCAGGCAGCCAACTCAAAGCTCATGTTATTGAAATGCCCTCAGTCTCCTGTCTCCATGGCTGGCGAGCAGGAAGTCTTCCATGCGTGCACTGCTCTGATGGACTTTATCCACACACCATCCCTGACACACTCACAGACACCATCGGCCCTGAGCTGGGCGCTGTGAGCCTCCCTCACACTCCTGTCCTGCCTGATGGTATCCACAAAAAATCTGGAGGCCTTGGATGGAGTCCACGTACCATTAGCTGTGCGAAATTCTGCATAGATCTGTGGAAAACGTTCAGCCCTGGGCAGGATCAGCTACATAATTTGCAGACCTGGTGCAAAATGAGACTGCATGACCTCTTGTTCAAATATTACTAAGCATTTCAAGATGGTGACAACATTTACTCAAGCACTGAGCCCAACCATGCGCTGGCTCAGCTCACCTGCCCGTGAAGCCAGCCATGCCCTGGGGGCTGCTGTTCTGCTTTCAGACCCCTGGTGCTCTCCTTCTTCAACCTGTTATCTGGGACCTCATTTTCACCTGCATTTGTCATCGATTTCCAAGCACTGCTGGGTGTGTGGCCTAGATCCCTCCCCACAACACACCCAGTGCTTCCCCTTCCACTGCCTCTCCACATGGGCCTCCACCAAAAATCCTCCACACAGGCCTCCAGACCTGGCCCTTTCTGTCCCTTCCTTCCTTCCCTGACATCCTCAGCTCCAGCCAGGCCTTCTCCGGCCTTGGTGTGTCTACTGTGGCTTTCTCCCACGCTGCCCTCGGGAGGGATGCTCCTGGCCCCTGAGCCTCCTTACAGGTGACCCCCTCTGCCTGAATCGCCCTTCCTCTCTGTCTTCCCCTGGCTGACGCTTACTCAGCCTTCAGGTCTTGACTTCAGCACAACATCCCCTGTCCTCCAGGAGCTTTCCCTTCCTCCGCAGACCAGGAGAAATCCCCTGGCTGCCCACGCCCCAGCGTGCTCTTCCTGCTGGTACAGCTCAGTGTATTTCCTGTCCACGAAGATGGGGGTGCCTGCGCCTGCATCAGAGTAGAACTCTGCAAAAATTTGTTGATTGTTGGTCGGATCGATGCCAGGCTCTCTGGTGAATTCAGTGTCACACACAGAGAGAACTGCTGTCACTTAGCAATGAGGGAAATGCAGTGCCTGCTGTTGCTGCTGCTGTTGCTGCATGGGAGGCCCGAGGAGCATCCTTGGAGCTGGTGGCTCTGCTGAAAGACAGCATGGCTCATCTGAACAAGTACTGCTCACCAAAGTGTCCACTGCTTGTGTTGCTATTAAGTGTGTATTTATTTATTTATTTATTTATTTATTTATTTATTTATTTATTTTTGGAACGGAGTCTTGCTCTGTCGTCCAGGCTGGAGTGCAGTGGTACAATCTCAGCTCACTGCAACCTCTGCCTCCCAGGTTCAAGTGATTCTCCTGCTCCAGCCTCCCGAGTAGCTGGGATTACAGGCTCCTGCCACCACTGCAGGCTAATTTTTGTATTTTTGGTAGAGACGGGGTTTCCCCATGTTGGCCAGGCTGGTCTCAAACTCTTGACCTCAGGTGATCCGCCTGCTTCAGCCTCCCAAAGTGCTGGGATTACAGGCTTGAGCCACCGCGCCCGGCCAATTGTGTTTTTAAAAAGTGACTTCTGAGATGATATGTGCGTTTCAAAATTTTCTTCTCTGTTTTTCTGGTTTGCAACAATATGCGTATGGTACTTTGATGGTCATGAGAAACAACTTGTCCCCAGGAAATTTTACGTTAAAAAAAGTACCAGGCAAGGGCAATTTGCTGTTAGGGTTCATTTGAATTGCAAATGTATTTCCTCTGGCTGGAAAGGGGAAACATCTTTCCTGACCTGCTCTACACCCCACAGAAGAAAGGGTATGAAGAGGAAGTGAAGTATGGTGTCAACGGTGCCAGTTCATCTGCTTCTAAAAACATTTATGTAAAAGTAAGAAGACAAAACAGCCATCGCGCTAAACCCAGGGTGCTGCTGAGCCCCAGGGTGGTGTTGACTGCTGCTGAGGTCCTGACCTGGGAGGAGAGTGAGGGCCGGGCCTTCAACTCCAAGGCCATGGCTGTAAGAAACAATCATTTCCAACCCCACTTAATTATCTCTCCCCAGTCACTTTCTTTCCTTCTGTTATATTTGTCTTCTGCCATGTAGGTAAAGGAAGGAAAAACAAAATTTAAGAAAAGTCTATGGAGTAGGTTAGGCGGGGGTTAGCGTGGATGGTGAGACCGAAGGGTCAGAGGAACATGAGACAGGTCAGACTGGGGTGGCCAACTGTCCCAGTTCACCTGGGACTGAGGAAGTACCTGGGCCTGAGACTCTTGTTTTAAAACTGGGATGGTCCTGGACAAACCAGGAAGAGTAGATCCCCCTACTCCCTGATGGCCTGTGAGGCAGCAGACATGGCCCAGCTGTCCCCCCAGGAGCCTCCACTCTGAGGTCACATGCCCTGCACCTCCCCATTGCACCCTCCGAGGGCCTCACAGTATTACCATTTACCAAGGCAGTTCTGGGAATCAATTCTGGCCTGACATTGGGAACCCAAGCCATACTTTCATCTTCAACATGTCACTTTTTAAACAATTTTCTAGAATGAAATTACTTTAACTTTTGTTTTAAAATGATTTGTGATTAAAGAGAAAACAGGATCTTCATATGAACTGAGATTGTGGTACATTTGAACAGTCAAAATTGTTCCGTTTAACTTGCATTGAATGCAAATTTCAGTTCCTAAAAAACCCAAATAAAGTAATAAATGTTCAGGGAAGGAGGTTTGATTTATCTCTTTCCCAAAATGATGACCTAGTAGGAAAATTGCTGATTGAGGAAAAACACATGGAAGGTTCGCGATAATGCAGGGACAGACTTCATGGCTGCTAGAGGGTCGCCATGAAAATAATTTGTGTCGGGCCCCACTTTCCACATACTACCCTCAGTCTTTCTAATGACCCCATGAGGTAGGTGCTGCCATCATCCTGGCTCTACAGATGAGAAAACTCGGAGCAGTGAAGTGGCCTGAGGACAGGCGTCCAGGCCTCACTGTCACCAGCGTTGACAGCATTCCCATCATGGCTTTGCTTCATCTTTTCTTATTCAAAGACAGAGAAAAGAAAGTCTGTTTCTACTTCTGTATGGCCCTTGTGCTAGCTCAACCGCTCAGAGCAGGGGAGTTAAAGTGCCAGCAAGCGAAATACCTCCAGCTGAGTACCAAAGATGAGACAGTCAGAGGCAGCTTCATATTGAAGGCAGATCCTCTGAGTATGTCTTTATTGGGGAACTGACATTTATAGATGACAAAGAGCTTTCACATTCATTAGGTCAAGGAGGAGAAGCAGCGCTAGTAACAGTTGAAGGAGTAATTAGTAATAGTAACAATAAAAGTACCTTTCATTTAGTACTTGTCACATACTGGGTACATTTACCTATATATATTTCTAATTTTCAAAACAACCCAATGAGGAAACTGAGACCCTGAACGTGGCTTTATCCCAAGGCTAACCCCAATGTCCAAGCATTTTGCACTTTATCATATTCACATTTTCAAAAAAGTTTCTCTCATTTTACAGTTGAGGAAACAAAGATTTATTGGGGGTACAGGTTTCAGTGATTACACATCCTTAGAATCAATGGGCCAGATTTCACACCCAAGTGTCCAGAAGCCCCTCATACAGAACTCAGAGTCAGTGCCTGAGAGAAGCCACAAGGCTTGTCCAATCAGCTGGCATCCCGAGCCCCACAGAAGGATGGGATTCCAAGATAGTAGTTAGGAATCTTTTGGTTCTATGGGGTACAATCATCCAGAGTTAAGCAAACAAGAAAAATGTAATACCTGAGAAGTGTCCAGTAGAAGCAGGACTGGGCCTCCGCAGAGCTTGTGGAAGGGCAGGACTGAAGTCTGAGAAGCTTTCAGGGCTCTGTCTCTCGTTGCTGTAGGCCAACTTCCACGCACCTCAGTGCAAGGTGGGGAGCACGGAACATGGTCTGGGGAGCACCAAGTTACACATTTTGAGTCCAGCAATAGGAAAGATTTCTTTGTTCCATTTTATATTCCAGGGGAAGCGCCAGTGAGTGGCTAAGTCTGGGTAAGGTCGCCATCCTGGTCCACAATATTATAGACAGGAGGCAGGTGACCTGTGACAAGTTCATCCCTTTGAAATGGGGGACCAGAGTTACCAGAGAGCTGGGAATCATTGTGAGTGGACGGAGGACTCAGTAGGTGTCCATTGTTGTGTCCAGGTGTCTGAATTCAAAACAAGTTAAAATGAAGCATCATACTCACACCCAGACAAAGTTAAGCAGGGACTAAGTTAGTGACAAGATAGTTCACCAACTATTTATTAAAATCTTCTGGAAAATATGTGTGTGCTGTAAATATTGTCTTGATGACAATGAGCTGTTTTTAAAAGATTTTTTTTAAGGATAATTTGGTGGGGAAACGTGCTCCCAGACAACAATGCTCATGGACCCAAGACCTTTTAGAAGATTTTTGGTGCAAAGGAGTCTGCACGGAGAGGCTTTCCTGACTCATACCCTACTTGTTTCCAAAGCTCCCCTGTGAATAAATATTACAGCAGGAGGGTCAGGATGGAACATTAGCAGATGTGAACATTTTGGCTCTTGAGGGTGACACTGCTGAATCTATGCCAGGTCCTCTCTCTCTGGAAAATTACTAAACTACGCTCAAATGATAAAACAAAACAAATACATTTCAGGCGGGGCGCGGTGGCCTACGCCTGTAATCCCAGCACTTTGGGAGGCCGAGGCGGGCGGATCACGAGGTCAGGAGATCGAGACCATCCTGGCTAACATGGTGAAACCCCGTCTCTACTAAAAATACAAAAAATTAGCCAGGCGTGGTGGCGGGCGCCTGTAGTCCCAGCTACTTGGGAGGCTGAGGCAGGAGAATGGCGTGAACCTGGGAGGCGGAGCTTGCAGTGAGCCGAGATCGCGCCACTGCACTCCAGCCTGGGCGACAGAGCGAGACTCCGTCTCAGAAAACAAACAAACAAACAAAAAAAAACAAATATATTTCAAAATGAACACCCGAAGCCCCCACAGTCATAGCTGTGTGCCTCCATGCACCTCTGCAATGTGGTGGGAGCGGGAATATCCATGCCCAAATACTTGCCCATAAATATCTCCCATCTAACTCTTTGTGGAGGAGATCAGATCCGAGTGGAAGGGCTCGGTGTCCCTGAGGGTAACGCCCATTGTCTAAGCAAGAGGAGTCTCTTTCTAACCCTAATAGGCTTGTTAACTCTTGGTGTTCTTCCTGTTCCTTTTTAGATAATCTATTAGGTTGGCACAAAAGTAATTGCAATCTTTGCCATTAAAAGTAATGGTAAAAACCGCAGTTACTTTTGCACCAAAATAATACATCACAGGTTTATACTCAGCCTTTGTTACTATTTTAGGTTGAATTATTTCCGTGCAAACCCTCAGAGCACAGGGATCTGTAATTATACTTTGCAAGAGATGTTACGTGCTACCAGCAAATTTTCCAGCTCAGTGATGCAAGGCAGGAGCTGTACATCTTCTCACATGTGGTTATTCATTCCATACAGTACTGAGAAAGAGCCTTAGTCACATTTGGACTCCCTAAGGAAGTGTCAGGCCACATCACTGCAGCCACATTCCTGCACAGAGCTTGCCTCAACCTCGCTCCTCCAGGCGAGCTCCATGCCGGCCACGTGATGGCCCCCGCCAGTGTTGAGAAGTGATTCATCGTCAGCTCCAGGGGAAAAACAGACTGTGTAGGAAGGTTCCATATGACAAAAACATCCGGATTTTTTTTCTTTCTGCCTTCTACTGGGCAATTCAGACCTTGTTATCATACAATTGAGGTGGAAATGTGACGTAATTAAACTGATTTATGAAAGTCACATACAGAAACCAGAGTCATTTTTTAGAGCCCCAGTGTGGTTAAAGTTTACTTCCTCTGTACATTTATAGCAAAGGCTTTTGAACATGGTTGAGGGCAGAGAGCCAGTTTCGGGTAGATTGGGAGAAGGTCTATTTGCTGGTTACTGCTGCTTCAATTTATATTTCCCCCTCAGTTTTACCAAGGAAAAGGCCTTAATGGACTGAATTCAATGTGAAGCTTGTGTGATTCTCTATCTGTGGCCACTTCAATGTGAACGCCAATGACCATGAGCCGGGTAATGACTTGGAAATATACTAGACAGAGCACAGCCATGGGAAATACCACGGAAGACTATGTTAGCTCCAGAATAACATCATTAAAACTAGCTTAATTTAGTACAGCATCTGGATCAGAAATAGTCCTAAACATGCATACACAAAGCAAGTATACATTTGCATGATACGTACACAGAGCTTTAAAAAGCAACCTGGATATAGTGTGTCAGTTTTCAGAAAGGGACCAAGATGAGATTAATGAACCTTGACACCTGCTTTGCTCTCTTCCACTGCCGTAGAAATCCTCTCTGCTGAGAGTCTGGCATACTTCATAGATACAGTATTTGGAGAAGCAGCAAGGCTGGATGGTTTGTGTAACACACTGGAAACGTCATGAGGCTGATTCTAGATTTGCCAGTCATCAACTGGGGGCACTTGGCCACGTTTTCTAACTCACAAAGGTTTTCCAGGATAACATTTCATGCTACCTCCCCTTGGTGTTTTGAGGAATCGTCAATAGGACAGACAGGCAAGCACATGAGAAACATAAGCTGCTAGTTGGCACAGGTGTGTTGGGCTGCTGGAATCAGGCAGGTGTATGGAGCCGGGTGACTCATGGAGGAGGAGGGGTTCCACCTGGAAGGGACACTCCCTGGTCTCTCTCCACATAGCTAATGTGAGTCACCACATTCCTGGCTCCCTGCCTGACTTGCTTCCGGGTCAACCACGGAACCCCAGGGCCACCTGGGGTTGGGCCTGCTCCAGCTGTTCCCTTCGGAGCCTTGCCCTGCTTGCTTTGCACTTGTTAGAAGAGGGAGCAGGTACTTCCCCGCAGGGACCTGTGTCTGCCTTCAGCTGTCTAAATTCCATGGAGAAGGCCTGGAGATCCATGGGGAAAACTCCTTTCATTCTGGGATGGTCTGGCCTGGAAGCCCGGAGCAGCTTCCTCAACCCCGCCGCCCTCCCCTTTTCCCTGCCTTGTACCCAAGGAGCCCCAGCCCCTACTCCACATCACAGAGGGCAGAGGTGGAGCCCACCTGGGACGGTGGCCACCTATACCCTCATCACCAGGCCTACATCAGCACCCTCTGGGCGTGACTTCCCTCACTTTCTAGGTAATGAAGAAAAAGATCGTGTTTTACATTGAGACGTATAATCTGTGTAGCTTGGAAGAGGAGAATATGCAACCCCCAAATATGCATAAGGATTGTTGAGCTGAAGGCCATTAAAAAGCAGATGCAGGAGAGCTCTCTGCCCTCGCTCTATTTGCCTAAAGCGGGGCACAAAGACAAAAGGTGTCCTGTCCCCCTTCCACCAGGGAGAACAAAGGTTAACCACGGAAGACAATTTCAAACCCTGTCAGCCTGGAGATGGTACTGGAGGAACCCACATGGGCAAGCCTCACCGAGCAGCCTTCCTCTGCCAGTTGTTTGCTTCTCCCCAAGTTGCTGCCCCCTAGAGACTCGAAATCCTTTTCTGCTTTTATTTTTAAAATATTTTAAAAAATACTTCCCCCAACCCCCACTGCATCCTCCCTAGCCACAGCGGGCTCCGGGACACTCTTCAGAGTCCTTTTCCTTTTCCTTTTCCTTGTCACTTCTCTAAATATTAGCTGTTCTTTGTTGAAGATACTGTCTAAGCTGGAATTCAAAGGCATCTCTCCCTGGTATCTTCCATGTGCATATTAAATACACATGATACTAAACTTCTGTTTGTTCCATGTGCATATTAAATATACATGATACTAAACTTCTTTTTGTTTTTCTCCTGTTAACCTGTCTTTTGTTACAGGGGTACATTCCAACTAAGAATTTATGAGAGCCGAAGAAAAAATTATCTTTCCTCCCCTACAGCAATGAACCAGAAATAGGCCACAGGGCCATCTGCTTTGGAAGCTTTGGTGGGATTCATAGGCTTTCTACCACCTTCCTTCATAGAAGGAACTGCACGCTTGAAAACTGCAACGAACCCAGTGAAAAGAGAAGAGGCTTCTGGCTACAATCAGATCTGCCAGTTGGCAGGTGATGGTGGGGGCACTGCCCCCAGAGCGGCTTCTAGACCTACTCTGCCCCTCCCGGCCCCACAGGGCACCCTGAGCTTGTACTCTGCCCCTCCCGGCCCCACAGGGCACCCTGAGCTTGTGAGAGGCACGGCCCCACCTGTGACCTCTCCCATCTTCTGGCCGTGCTCCCTGCGGTGCGCCCCACTCCAGAGAGCTCCAGCCCGGCTCCCTTCCTGCTGCGACGTTCATCCAGTTTCTCAAGTTCCAATTTTCATTCTGATGCCCTCGAACTTTTCTCAGCACAACATATCTGCAGTGAAAATGGAAATTCCAGACCTAAATCTATATTGAACCTCCCCAGATGTGCTGGCCCTGGGCTCTCCTTCCCCCTTCTTGAATCCTGAGGAACTGAAGCTGTCTTAAGAGCTCACGTGTGCGTCATCCCTTCCTGCACCTGCTTCCACGGGCCCTTGGCGGTAGCCTGGGAACAGCTGGTCAGGTACTATTAGCCCCATTCTACCAATGGAGAAACCGAGGCTCAGAACAGCTCAGTGGGATGCGGCTTCTGAGGTCACACGGTTCACGTGCACCAGAACTTGCTTCTAGGCCGCCTTTCCATATCCTGTGCTTTTTCAAAAGCCCCCTTTTAATGCTTACAACCCCTTTTTGCTGTGCAGGGTACAATGCTAGACTAGCAGGAGAGTGGTGACTCATAACCAACTTCTGACTTATTTGACCGCACACACAAAACAAGGCTCTCTACCCATTTTTCCAAAACACAAATTGCGTCTTTAAGAATGCTCTTGAACTCCAAGTGCAACTGACAGACAGCACATCATAGACCGCTTGATACATGTTGTTGTCTGAATGGAAAAACAAGACATGCCTCCAATTCCCCCAAAATAAGTGATTCTATGAAACTAATGCCACAAAAAGGAACTAAAGAAGAATGTGTCAGCTGTTCTAATACAATCAACTGATTACCTAGAACACAGGCAAAAATGCATGTCTGGGGTGTAACCAGTGGTGTGGGGGTGGGTCTGCCATTGTTTACAATCGCCACACATGGCGATAATAGAAAGCAGACCACTGCAGTGTTTTTCTTCCTATTTTTAAATTCTCTGCAGACAATGCACCCTGACTCCCACAGCTCTCTCCTTCTCCTTGGTACACCACCAAGTGTAACTAGTGATTCATACGAGGGTGATTCATGTTATCCATCAGATTTTTTCAAAATTATTTTTATTAGTCTTCTTGTTGTTGTTGTAAAATAAATCTCTTTTCCCCCGGCTGTGTTGCCAGACACTGCCTTCCCCAGCCTGCCCTCTCGCTCCCTACCTGCTTGCATCAGCCAGGCCTGGGGCAATGGGAAGGACCTGCAAAGGTGTTGAAGACCCTTCTCCATGAGGGAGTAGGAAGGGAGTCAGTCTGTGCAACTCCCTGTCCCCACCCAGGCCAGTGTAGGTGACCAGGCCACCAGCTGGCGTCTGCCCTGATCCTAGATTTCTTCTGGGCCTCAAATCCAGCCCTGAATGTCAGGTCAGGCAACCGGAAACTACTTCCTCCCAGTCCCCATATCCTCTGTACCCTCACTGGCTGGTCCTGCACCTGCACCTGGACAGAGAGCTATCTGAAGCTGTGACACTGGCATCTCCTGAGGCTAAGAACTGTCCTTGTCTAAACGCTTGGCTGTCACCCCAGCTCTGCTATACCAGCCTCACCAGACTGATTGAGATAGAGGCCACTCTGGCTCAGACTTGAGCTCCCTACTTTGCGATTTGAACCTTTGGACACTCTCTGGGGGAGAAATGTGGATGGTGACACCCTGTGGCCTGGTTTTAATGGTGTGCTAGTAAATGTGCACAACAGGCTCTCTGGAAGAAGAGTCCTGAAATGTACATTTGCCAATTTCTGTGGTGTAAATACTGCCCCCATGGCCAATTTCCAGCTGTCAGTAAGAAGTCACTGAACGCAGAGGTGGAAAGAGATGTGCAGCAGAACAGGGTTATATAATGCTTCCTCCACTCAGACACGCAGATGTAAATAACCTTGATGGCCCGGGCGTGGTGGCTCACGCCTGTAATCCCAGCATTTTGGGAGGCCAAGGTGGGCAGATCACGAGGTCAGGAGATTGAGACCATCCTGGCCAACATGGTGAAACCCCATCTCTACTGAAAAAAAGATAAAAAAAATTAGCCAGTGTGGTGGTGCACGCCTGTAGTCCCAGCTACTCGGGAGGCTGAGGCAGGGGAATTGCTTGAACCTGGGAGGTGGAAGTTGCAGTGAGCCAAGTTCACACCACTGTACTCCAGCTGGGAAACACAGCAAGACTCCATCTAAAAAAGAAAACAAAAAACAAACAAACAAACAAAAAAAACAAACTTTGATGGCATAGGTAATAGTAAAGTGTAGATCACTAGGAAGTGATGAGCTTTAAGTGTTTATTACTTTTGTTTTTAGTATAATCTATTCAATTTGTAAGTTTATATCATTAAACTTTTATTTATTTTTCTTATTTATTTCTATATTTATTTGGAGACAGGGTCTCCCTCTGTTGCCCAGGCTAGAGTGCAGTGGCATGATCATGGCTCACTTCAGCCTCAACCACCTGGACTCAAAGCTCACACCTCAGCCTCTTGAGTAGCTGGGACTACAGGCGCCCGCCACCATGCCCAGCTAATTTTTGTATTTTTACTAGAGACAGGGTTTCACCATATTGGCCATGCTGACCTCAAACTCCTGACCTCAAGTGATCCACCAGCCTCAGCCTCCCAAAGTGTTGGGATTACAGGCATAAACCACTGCGCCTGACCCATTTAATTTTTAATAATGGCTGTGTTTAACAACCAGCTTGCAAATTTCCTGAAAATTTAACCATGAGTGCTCCTGGGCCCATCAGGGCCAGCTCTAGCATGTCACAGCCTGGTTTGGCTCTCAGGCCCCATCTTTGCATGGCTTCAGCTAGATGTCATGGTCCCCTGCCCGCAGCCTGCATGACTCAGAATTCCTACCAGCCAGGGCCGTGTGACTTCTGACGTCCAGGTTGCCAAATTCAATAGGTAAATTTCACTCCTTATTCTACTTGGCCTCCCAGAGACTCCTGTCTTTTGAAACTCTCAACACCATCATTGTTCCTTGCTATGATTTTAAACCTTCTCTGAGGGCACAGGTTCCTCTGCTGGCCCTTCAGCTGTTGGTGTTTTTCAGGACCTGAGGTCTTCTTCCACTGTCCTCACTGGGAACGTGAATGCCGCTGCTTCCCAGATCCCTGCCTTCAGTTCAGGTCTCCCTGTTGAACTCAGGTCTCATCTGTGCAACTTCCTGCTGCACAGCTTCCTGTGACCATCTCTCAGGCGTCTCCTACTCAACAGGTTCCATCATCCCTACCTGTCTTGCTCACGCAGGCATCCATGCTAGCGTTCACCCCATAAATACTTCTCAGACACCCATTACCTGCTAGTCACTACACGTGCTGACCATACAGCTGTGACTCAGCCACAGTCCCACCCTCATGGGGCTTATCCAGGGGACATGGTGTCACCATGTGCCCAGTGACCCCAGCCAGAGCCTTCAGTCATCCTTACCCCTGACCTCTCCCACTTACCATTGTTTAGTTGGTAGATTTGATCTGTTCTTCTTCCTGCCCAACTCCGGAAGCCTCCCCTTCCTCTGCCCCCACCAAGAGTGTCTTTTCCCCAGGCCCTTGTCATTTTGCTCTGGGATCATCGGGAAGCTCCTCACTGCTCTCCTATCCCCAGACTTGCCGCTCTCGAATCCATTCTCCATGCTGCTAGAGTAATGATATTTCTGAAATCACATTTATGATATTGCCATTTCCCTGTATAATATTCTCCCAAAGACCCTCATAGCATTCCATGTAACATCTAGCCTCCTTGGCATGGTAGAAAAGGCCTTTTAGGTGACCTGGCCTCATCTGCTTCTTTTTTCTTTCTTTTCTTTTTCCTTCCTTCCTCTCTTTTTTCTTTCTTTCTTTCTCTCTTTCTCTTTCCTTCTTTCCTTCCTTCCTTTCTTCTTTCTTTTCTTTTCTTTTTTGATAGGGTCTTGCTCTGAAGACCTTGGAGGCTGGAGTGCAGCAGTGAGATCACACCTCACTGTAACTTTGAACTCCTGGGCTCAAGTGATCCTCCTGCCTCAGCCTCCTGAGTAAGTGGGACTACAGGCATGCACCACCATGGCCGGCTAATTTTTAATTTCTTTTTGTGGAGACGAGGTCCTGCTATGTTGCCCAAGCTCCTCAAACTCCTGGCCTCCCCATCTGCTTCTTAGTCTTCTTGTTACCATTCCTCCTGAGACCTACGCTCCAGCTGTGGGGACATTTCTCAGGCCTACCCCCTATGCTGGTGCCAACCCCTTCACCCAGAATCCCTCCACCCGACGCCAGCCCTAGCCCCTATTCCTTTCTTTGATTGCCTGCTCCTAGTCATCCTTCAAAGCTTGGTTCAGCTGCAAGCTTCCCAGTATGGCTGTGCAAGGGGCATTGCAAAGAGGTGGAGGGTGCCCTGTGCACATCTGAGGTCACTGTAGATTATGACAATTTTCTGGTACATAGTGATAAAATGAATGGTGCCACTGAGGTCATCAGCAGGGCAACTTCTGTCACTTCCTCCTGGAAATGTTCACTGGCCCTCCCAGTTTGCGTTGGGTGACTCTTCTCTGTCATGGCCATGTCATACCAAACTGTGACTGTTTATTAGTATCCATGCTCTTTTGGAGGATGAGCTCTTGGAGGACAGGACCGTGTCCTTCCCTTCTGTATACCTGGCACAAGAACTGATGGGCAGTCCGTGAAGGTTTGTTGAGTGAATGAGCGTGTCCCCGGTAACAGAGTGCCGTGGATAAGGCCCCAGGATCCTGAGTTAGAATCCTGGTGCTGCCTCTCCCATGCAGGGTGACTTAGACACAGCACTCCACAAGTAGCCACCCCATACCTCATACAAAGAGTATGGGGCTCAAGTGAGAAAGTGGCTGCCAAGCACTGAGGGAATGCATGGTGATTCTTACGACTGAATATTTTCCAGTGCTGAAGCTGCTTCTGTGTTGTGCTTCCTAGTCCACTTTTCTGGACTCCCTCTCTCGGTTTGTTTATTATTATTTTAATCCTCCTGAGTTTTACTAGAGAGGCAGCACCATCTTGGTAAATATCTTAACTGCCAGCTCCTGGTGGGGGGAGGGGGTGGAAGTTGAAGTGGAATTCAGTGCAGTGATGTGTGAGATAATGGAACACACACACATTACAGCTAAAGTCCAAGGGAAAGGCTGTCAGAATTAGCTGGATTCTCCCGGCGTCCTCTCTGCACCGGGGCTTGCGATCTGGCCCTCGGCCGCAGGTTGGCACAGCCTGCTTTGTTGCTGAGATGCCCAGTTTCCTCTCGCTCCTGCCCTCTGCTGGCCGGAATCAGATTCTTTCCCGCATATTTGACTCTGTTGCCTCTGGGGATCCGCCTGGGGATCCGCCTGCGTCTCGGGGGCCTGGTTTTCTTTGCTTATTCACTTGCTTGCTGGAGTGTCTATTCCCTGCTTGCTGCATTAGAAGCTATGGGGTACACAAGTGATGCTGGTCCTCAAAGTCCACCTTCAAGGAGCAAGAAATTTGGATAATCTTGGAGAAGCAGAAGCCAGGACCTCAATCCAGAACTCTGTGCCTGGAGCAATGAAGGAGTTATTGTCCCCAGACATGGCACACCAGATTGCAAATTTATAAAGACAGGGAATCATACTTATGTAGAGCTTCGCAATTTACAGAGCACCAAGACATACATTTTCCAATTTAACTCTTTTTTTTTTTTTAGACAGAGTCTCACTCTGTTGCCCAGCTAGAGTGCAGAGTGCAGAGGAACAATCACAGCTCACTGCAACCTCCACCTCCTGGGTTCAAGCAATCCTCCTGCCTCAGCCCCCCAAGTACTTGGGTCTACAGGCACTTGCCACCACGCCCAGCCAATTTTTGTATTTTTTGTAGAGACAGGGTTTCACCATGTTGCCCAGGCTGGTCTTGAACTCCTGACCTCAAGTGATCTGCTTACCTCAGCCTCCCAAAGTGTAGGGATTACAGGCATGAGCCACCATGCCTAGCTAATTTAACCCTTTCAAGCAAACCACTGAGGATGGTATTAATGAAATAAAATAGAAATTGTGTTGGGAGACTGACATTTACTGTCATCAGATGTGATTACTGGCAAACATCTTGTTAGTCAGCTGATGTTATGTCTCACCTCAAAGGACACACTTGATGGGTGGGTGGGGGAAAGCCAGTAAGCCAGGAGTTTCAAAGGAACACTGTGTGGTCTGACCCACACTGTCTTTCCGTAGCATCTGAACTTTCTGTCCCTGCCTCTCCAGCAATGTCTGAGAAGATCAAAGTCTGAGGAGACAGATGTGACTCCTGGAGAGGCATCCAATGGGTAGTTCTCCACTTCTGCCTTGCAACCGTGATCCCAGAAATTCTGAAAGGGCACTTTTAGGATTAAAAGCATTTAGCTTCGTTTCTTCCTTTGTAGGAATGGAAAATCAAAATCACTCTGAAGTCGTGGTTTCTTTTAAGATGCAAAACAACTCCTTTCAAGCCATTGCTTTTAAATCTCTCACATTCAAGCTTAAATCAGTGAGTGACATTGTCACCGTATAATCCGACTGAGTTAAATCGAATAGTGGGAAAGTGGCCTTTTCTTTCTTTAATCTTTGACAAAATAAGGCAAATTCTAAAATTATGCCCAACAGTCTATCAGTAGTCTTTGTTGTTCCACATGTTCAAAGAGAAATGTCTATAAACTCTCAGCTGGTGTTTTTCTAACCCGGAGGCATTCTCTTCCCTACCAGGAAGGGAGGAGTGACTAACATATGATGCTGAGAGAGGCCACTAGGAAAGAGATGGCTGAGAGGGAGAATTTCTCCCGGTGTCAGAGGCATGCGAACCAGAGCAACTCCATCTTGAATACAGAGCTGGGTAAAATGAGGCGGAGACCTACTGGGCTGCATTCCCAGACTGTTAAGGCATTCTAAGTCACAAGATGAGATAAGAGGTCAGCACAAGATGCAGGTCATAAAGACCTTGCTGATAAAGCAGGTTGCAGTAAAGAAGCCGGCCCTATCTCACCAAGACCAAGATGGCCACGAGAGTGACCTCTGGTCGTCCTCACTGCTACACTCCCACCTGCACCATGACAGTTTACAAGTGCCATGGCAATGTCAGGAAGTTACCCTGCATGGTCTAAAAAGGGGAGACATGAGATTCACCCCTTGTTTAGCATATCATCAAGAAACAACCATAAAAATGGGCAACCAGCAGCCCTCGGGGCTGCTCTGTCTATGGAGTAGCCATTCTTTATTCCTTTACTTTCTTAATACACTTGCTTTCACTTTATTCTATGGACTCACCCTGAATTCTTTCTTGCACAAGATCCAAGAACCCTCTCTTGGGATCTGGATCAGGACCCCTTTCCTGTAACACCTGCACTGCTATTCCGACCATAGTCTTGGATGCTTTGAGGTTGTGATAGCTGCACAGGTGAGAGGGAGAGCCCTCACTCAGAAATTTTGCTCTCGAAACTCAGAGGCACAGAGCAGACTTAGGACGTGCTGATGTCCACGCTCACAACATGCATGTTGCTCAGTTCATACAATGTGTGACGCACGTCAGACAGACCCACCTTCAACAAAGCACTTTTATGTCTCAAAACAGGAAGCATCCAAAAAATGCAGCCACCCAACTGCTTCCTTCCAGTAGAATCCTCCTCTTGTCCAGGTTTCTATCCTATCTGTGCTTCCCATTTTCTGTCCTAGAAGTGAAACTGCCTTTGCAAAATTATGACTGAGACAGTGAGAGAGATCTAACTTAACCGACTGCATCTTGCTTCTCACCTCCAAGCTGTCTGTGTTCATTCCTGGGCGTAAGCTGAACTAACTTTGGGAGAAACTTAGTTTATAGTTTAAACAAAGACACTAATAGCTCTTTGCCAAAGCAGACCTCCTTCTTGCTTGGAGACTAGATTGCCTTTGTAGGACTAACATTAGCCACAAGATTAGAAATTATGATTTAGGAGTCGTGCAGCTGGAGGCTACAAGATTCTGACCCTCCCTAAACTGCTCCTAGAAATCAGTGCTTGAGATATATTTGCAGACCCTGCACTTGATGGATCAGCTGGCACCACCCCATCAATAAACTGGCTCACCTGATCTTGTGGCTCCCACCTAGGAACTGATTCAGCACAAGACAGCTTTGACTCCCCATGATTTCATCTCTGACCAACCAGTACTCCTGGCTTACTGGCTTTCCCCCACCCACCAAATTATCTTTAAAAACTCTGCTCCCCAATGATCAGGGAGACTGATTTGAGTAATAATAAAACTCCAGTCTCCCATACAGCCGGCTCTGCGTATATTACTCTTTCTCTATTGCAATTCCCGTGTCTTGATGAATTGGCTCTGTCTAGGCAGCGGGGCAAGGTGAACCCCTTGGGCGGTTACAGAAGCAGAATCTTGATGACCCCAGGCAATTATGGTGGTCCCAGTGACTGGCTTAGGAGGGAATATGTGACCTGTTCTGGCCAATTAGACACTGGGGGAAATCTGGAGGCTTGTGGAAAGATTTTTTTCTCTTCCTTTGAAAATAGAGGGAAAAAAAAGACACAGATCCTTGTTCTTCTCTGGACTTAACCATGGCTGTTTTTAATCTCGGGATTTGGCAACCACCTTGTGATGATGAAAGGAAACAGCCCGAGGCAAAATAAGTCTATTGAGTCTGGTAGACTGAAGAAATGTAAACAACTTGGATCCTTGAAGAAATGGAAGTACCTTTTTGAGTTACTGAATTAGCCCTGAAACTGCTCTACCTGTGAACTTCTTTTTATATGAGACTAAATCCCCTTGGTTAGACCATAATGAGTTCAATCTGAAAGCATGCTAAACAAGAATCCATAATTATCTATAATCTCTATTCACAGCTGCTGTACTCCCTCTTTTTTTTTTTTTTTTTTGCCACTAAAAAGAAAACTATGGCAAGAACACTTAACATAAGATCTATCCTGTGTGGAGAAAAGAAAGAGAGATCAGACTGTTACTTTGTCTATATAGAAAGAAGTAGACATAAGAGACTCCATTTTGTTCTGTACTAAGAAAAATTCTTCTGCCTTGAGATGCTGTTAATCTGTAACCCTACCCCCAACCCTGTGCTCGCAGAAACATGGGCTGTGTCGACTCAAGGTTTAATGGATTTAGGGCTATGCAGGATGTGCTTTGTTAAACAAATGCTTCAAGGCAGCATGCTTGTTAAAAGTCATCACCACTCCCTAATCTCAAGTACCCAGGGACACAAGACACTGCGGAAGGCCGCAGGGACCTCTGCCTAGGAAAGCCAGGTATTGTCCAAGGTTTCTCCCCATGTGATAGTCTGAAATATGGCCTCATGGGAAGGGAAAGACGTGACCGTCCCCCAGCCCGACACCCGTAAAGGGTCTGTGCTGAGGAGGATTAGTAGAAGAGGAAGGCTTCTTTGCAGTTGAGATAAGAGGAAGGCATCTATCTCATGTTCGTCCCTGGGCAATGGAATGTCTCGGTGTAAAACCCGATTGTATATTCCATCTACTGAGATAGGAGAAAAACATCTTAGGGCTGGAGGTGAGACATGCTGGCAGCAATACTGCTCTTTAATGCACCGAGATGTTTTTGTATGTGCACATCAAAGCCCAGCACTTTTTCTTAACCTTGTTTATGACACAGAGACATTTGTCCACATGTTTTCCTGCTGACCCTCTCCCCACTATTACCCTATTGTCCTGCCACATCCCCCTGTCTGAGATGGTAGAGATAATGATCAATAAATACTGAGGGAACTCAGAGACTGGTGCCTGCGCAGATCCTCCATATGCTGAGTGCCAGTCCCCTCGGCCCACTTTTCTTTCTCTATACTTTGTCTCTGTGTCTCTTTCTTTTCTCAGTCTCTCGTCCCACCCGACGAGAAACAACCACAGGTGTGGAGGGGCAGGCCACCCCTTCAATCCTGTTAATTTTTTTTTTTTTGAGACAAAGTCTCACTCTGTCACCCAGACTAGAGTGCAGTAACGCAATCTCGGCTCACTGCAACCTCCGCCTCCTGGGTTCCAGCGATTCTCCTGCCTTAACCTCCAGAGCAGCTGGGATTACAGGCATGTGACACCATGCCCAGCTTATTTTTGTGTTTTTAGTAGAGACGAGGTTTCACCGTGTTGGCCAGGCTGGTCTCGAACTCCTGACCTCAAGTGATCCACCCGCCTTGGCCTCCCAAAGTGCTGGGATCCCGGCTCTGTTAATTTTTTAAGTGCACAATACAGTGTTAACTACAGGCACTGTGTTGTACAGGAGACCTCTAGAACTTATTCATCTAGTATAACTGAAACTATATTCATTGAATAATAATTTCCCACTTCCCCTCCCTGCAGACTTTGGCAACCACCATTCTGCTCTTTGTTCCTATGAATTTAAATATTTTAGATACCTCCGTTAAGTAGAATCATGCAGCATTTGTCTTTCTGTGTCTGGCTTATTTCACTTGGCATCATGTTCCCAAGGCTCATCCATGTTGTCTCACATTGCAGGATTTCCTTCTTTTCTAAGGCAGAATAGTGTTCCATTTATGTACACACCACATTTTCTTTACCCATTGTTGTACATTTAGGTTGTTTCCACATCTTGGCTATTGTGAATGGTGCTGCAATGAACATGGGAATGACAATATTTGAGATTCGGATTTTAATTTTTTTGGATAAAGACTAAATTCCTAGATTATATAGTAGTTCTAGTTTTAATTTTTTGAGAACCTCCTGATATGGTTTGGCTCTGTGTCCCCACCCAAATCTCATCTTGAACTATACTCCTGTAATTCCCACGTGTTGTGGGAGGGACCCAGTGGGAGATAATTTGAATCATGGGGGTGGTTTTCCCCATACTGTTCTCATGGTAGTGAATAAGTCTCACGAGATCTGATGGGTTTATCAGGGGTTTCTACTTTAGCATCTTCCTCATTTTCTCTTGCCACCCCCATGTAAGAAGTGCCTTTCACCTCCCACCATGATTCTTAGCCTCCCCAGCCATGTGGAACTGTAAGTCCAATGAAACCTCTTTTTCTTCCCAGTCTTGGGTACGTCTTTATCAGCAGTGTGAAAATGGACTAATACACCTCCATACCATGTTCCATAGTGGCTGCACCATTTTGTATTCCTGCCAACAGCATACAAACCTTCCAATTTCTTCACATCCTCTCCAACACTTATTATATTTTTTAAAAAATAACAGTCATTCTAACAGGTGTGAAGTGCTAGCTCATTGTGGTTTTGATTTGCATTTCCCTGATGATTAGTGGCATTGAACATCTTTCCATATGCCCGTTGGCCATTTGCATGTCTTCCTTGGAGAAATGTCTATTCAAGTCCTTTGCCTATTTTTAAATTGCGTTATTAGGGTTTTTTTTTTTTCTGTTGAGTTGTAGAAGTCTCTTATATATTTTGGATATTAATCCTTTATCAGATATATGGTTTGCAAACATTTTCTCCCATTCAACAGGTTGTCTCTTCACTCTGTTGATTATTTCCTTTGCTGTGCAGAAGCTTTCTAGTTGGATGTATTCTCATTTGTCTGTGTTTGCGTTTGTTGCCATATCTATGAAATCATTGCCAAGACCATGCCACAAAACTTTTCCTCTATCTTTCTTCTAGGAGTTTTACAGTTTTGGGTTTTACATTGAAGTTTTTAATCTGTTTGCATTGATTTTTGTGTATGGTGTAAGATAAGGATACAATTTGCATGTGGATATCCAGTTTTACAAAACACCATTTGTTGTAGAGACTATCCTTTCTCCATTGTGGATTCTTGGCACCCTCATTGAATATCAGTTAACTGCATATGCATGGGTTTATTTCTGGTCTTTTGGTCAACATGTCTGTGTTTATGCCAATACCATAGTGTTTTAATTATCAGAACTTTGTAATACATTTTGAAATTAGGAAGTGCGATGTCTCCAGCTAACACAGCTGGAGTTCTTTTTCAAGATAGATTGGGGTATTCAGGGTCTTTTATATTTCCATATGAATTTAAAAATTTTTTTCTATTGTTGTAGAAAATGCATTGGAATTTTGATAGGGATTACATTAAATTTATAGATCATTGTGGGTAGTTATGGACATTTTGACAATGGTAACTCTTTCAATCCATGGACATGGGTTGTCTTTCCATTTATTTGTGCCTACTATAATTTCTTTCATCAATGTTTTGTAGTTTTCAGTGTACAAGTCTTCCACCTCCTTAGTTAAGTTTATTCCTAAGTATTTTATTCTTTTTGATGTTATAGTAAGTGGAATTTTTTTCCCCTAATTTCCTTTTTTGGCCATATCAGTTCTTCTACCCTTCATCTTAGCAGGAGTTAGTGGCTGGGTGTGGTGGCTTATGCCTGTAATCCCAGTACTTTGGGAAGCTGAGGCAGGCGGATCACCTGAGGTCAGGAGTTTGAGGCCAGCCTGGCCAACATGGTGAAACCCCATCTTTACTAAAAATACAAAAATTAGCCAGGCGTGGTGGCTGTAGTCCCAGCTACTCGGGAGGTGGAGGCAGGAGAATTGCTTGAACCCAGGTGGCAGAGGTTGCAGTAGCCAAGATCATGCCACTGCACTTCAGCCTGGGTGACAGAGCAAGACTCTGTTTCAAAAAAAAAAAAAAAAAAAGTTAGCACAATTGCCACTACTGACAGTAATACAGTAATCACTCCCATTACTTCAGCATATACTCTATGTGAGGTCAGTGCCAAGCCCTGGCATGTAATATCTTACTTAATTATCAAAATGATTCCATGAGGTAGGTTTCCTCATCCCATTTTATAGATGAGGAAACTGAGGCCCACAAAAGGTAAATAATTTTCCCAAGGTCTCAGACTAGTAAGTTTCAAACCTAAGAGCCAAACCAGACCCTGACTGCACCCCATCACCCATCTCCCCGAACTCTCTCCCTGTCTAACCATGGGAACAGCAGATATGCATGGGACAGAGACCTCTTCATCTGATGGTTTCACGGAATCAGTATGTGAGTTCCCTTGGGGTTGTGAAATCTAATTTAGAACCCAAAGGTAATTGACTATATAAAATTCACTGCTTGACATGAATTCTCTTGTGAGTTTTATTTAACCTCTTTGTACTTTAGATTCTGTGAGGTTGTGACAGAGATTTTCCACTACCTACTTCCTCAGGATGTAAGAAGGTAATTGAGATAATGTCTCTGAAAGCATTTTTCAATATTGAGAGGAAAGATACTATGGAGAGCCATGCTATTGTTACTGTGATTTTAATAACTCTTCCCAACTCTTAGGATGTTGATATTATAATGAAACATATTAATTTATTGAAAATATTCTGCACAGCTCCTTAAACTCTCAGGAGAAAAGACTGTTTGAGAATGAAAATGAGAAATCAGATAAATTATCAGCTATAGGTAAAACATTCTTTTTTTTTTTTTTTTTTTGATACAGATTCTCACTCTGTTGCCCAGGCTGGAGTGCAGTGGCATGATCTTGGCTCACTGCAACCTCCACCTCTCAGGTTCAAGTGATTCTCTTGCCTCAGCCTCTCAAGTAGCTGGGGCTACAGGCGCGTACCACCATGCCCTGCTAATTTTTGCATTTTTAGTAGAGATGGGGTTTCACTATGTTGGCCAGGCTGGTCTCAAACTGCTGACCTTGTGACCCACCCGCCTTGGCCTCCCAAAGTGCTGGATTACAAGCATGAGCCACCATGCTCAGCCTGAGTAAAATATTCTTTAGTGGTCAAAATGTTATATTGGACAGAAGATAAATTTGTTTTAAGTAAGGGGAAGTTCTCTTATTTTACATTGGCATTTGTAAAACAAGGTATAGACCCATTTTAAAGGAAATATTTATCATAGATATCCAATGTTGACCTAAATTCTTTTTTATTATATTACTTAAATATGATCAAAACTAAAACTAGATACAGAGTCCTCATACTGTTAGATCTAATACAGTGATAAAACCAAGAAAAATCTACAAATGCTATAAAAACAAAATGAAAAAACTAATAAAATTCAGATTAATAACATGAATTTAATATGATGGATGATGTTGTTTTGTATTTAACAGAATAAAGAACAAAATTCTTATTTGGTTCTATGTTTAAGAGTTTTGATTCAATTCTCAGACTGCTTGGGTTCAAATCTCAACTCTGTCTCTTACCAGCTTGACAATGGGCAAGTTATTTAACCTCTCTTAGACTCAGTTTCCTAATTGGAAAATAATAATAGAACTCATCTCAAAGAGCCCTAGTAAAGATTAACATTGGTAACATCTATTAATTACTCAGCACAGTGCTTAGTACATAATAGGGGCTCAATAAACATTTGGTATTATTAATAATATTGTTTTATTTAAAACGAATAAAAATAATTCATATTTTCCATAAATATACTTTATATGGGATTAGTAATTTCATTGCTTTGTTTTTTAGTTCATGATGATTAAACATTACATTTAACCAAATTCTGTTATGAGCAATTCTTGATAGCAAGTGTTGACGAGGTGTCACTTAGTAACAGCACCAGGCTGCCTTATCACTTGAAGATAAGCTTATGTTGAGTCAGTATTGCAATATGCCTCGAACGAGTAGTTAATACAATGATTGCCAGAATTAATAGAAGAATAACTTCACAACATACTTACTCCTGTACTTATGGCAAGCTGATATGAATGAAGATGGAACAGAAAACTTGACTGCTCACACGGTTTGATAATCACTGAATTCTACTCTGTGCTTCTGATATCTCAGTTCCTTAAGTGCTTTTTAAAAAATGTGAACTATTCCTGCAAGAGATGATTTGGTCAAGCATGGCTAAGAGAGTAGACTGTTTTCATTCAGTGAAAATATCTTGTGTGTTTGTGTGTGCATGTACACAGCCACATGCTTTTTCCAGGTCCCTCTGGCCCCTTCCGTTCTGTTCTGGTTTGTGTGGGGGCATTACTTTCTTGTAGGTGGGTTTTTATTCTTTGTCTTTGAGCAGGGGTCCTCAGTCTCGGGGCCACAGACCTGTACCAGTCCATGGCCTGTTAGGAACCAGGCTGCATAGCAGGAGGTGAGCGGCGGACAAGTGAGCATTACCGCCTGAGCTCTGCCTTCTGTCAGATCAGTTGCGCCATTAGATTCTCATGGGAGCTTGAATCCTATCGGGAACTGTGCATGTGAAGGATCTAGGTTGTGTGCTCCTTATGAGAATCTAATGCCTGATGATCTGAGGTGGAACAGTTTCATACCCTCTGACCCCACGACCCACCCTGTGGAAAAACAGCCTTCCACAAAACTGGTCCCTGGTGCCAAAAAGGCTGGGGACCACTGTCTTAGAGAATATACTTGCTCAGCCTTCATGCTTCAAATCACAGTCTTTCCTAACTTTTTTGTTGTTTTGAGACAAAGTCTTGCCTTGTCACCCAGCCTGTCTTTCCTGATTTTAATTGTAAGAGTCTGGCTCCTTCCAAAAAGCTCTGCAGAAATGTCTGCTGCTTGTTCTGTGCCCCCTGCAAAGGCTCCTTCCTCTCTTTCCGGCCAGGCTCCCCCTCCATCTCTGTCTTGCCCCAGGATAAGGATGGGAGGGTGTCTGGTTGCTCTCCATTTGGCTGGAAGAGTAACTTCCTGAAAACAGAGTACTCCATTGGGCAGAAATACGGCCCCTTGATACTTAATGTTTAAGGACAGAAAGAAGTCTTCTGCCTGGCGATGGAAGCGCAGGATCATTACCTGTTAGCCACTTTATGCCCAGCATCCTGTAGGCTACAGACTGCCCACCTTAACTGTTTCATACACTTACATTTTAATGTTTTTTTTTTTAAAGGGGAAACAAGTTGTGTCATAAATATATGCAAGCTCAATCTTTGAATACCTCAACTTTTAGGAAAAATGCTCTTCACATGTTGCAAGACTTCACAAAAGAATTATGCAGAAATGGATAACTAATTGTAAATTTTAAGTAACTTCCAGTTCCTTTTGTATTCCCATTGGTCCACTGGACTAGTCCTAACAACAACAAAAAAGTCACTTCCAGGACATTTGATTCCTGGAGTTCTATCTGCAGGATGCCATTGATCAATTCCAACATTCTAAATGTTTTTTACTGATTCCTGTTTTGGATGCTATATTTGTCTTTTTGTGTTAATATGTATATGAGAACCAAAATTCCAGGGATAGCAGATTTTAATGAAGAATAACAGCATTTGTGTAATGTGTTTACACAACAGGATTGAAAATTTTTCTCTAAATTTATTTCTTTCCATGCTTTCACATACATAACTGGAGAAGAGAAGAAGGACAATTTTGGATCCAGGTAGTACTTTCAGGAGCTCTTGGGGTGGAGCAGTTCTCAGTTTGAGAAGCCAGGATGGGCATCTGACCACGGACACACTGTGCCTGCATTTTTCACCTGCTTTTCCCTTTTATAAGTAAATCTTTCATATTCTCGTCCTTGGGCTCATTAAAAGAAGAAAAACATGAAGTCTTTCAGTGGTTTGCTCTTTCTTGGCTCAGGAAAGTGAAATTTAAGGTGAAAAATCACCCTGGGCAGAATGGAAATGCCAAACTTTCCAAGTCAACTTTTCCTGGGTTAAAATCAAACAGGGCCACGAAGGATCAAGTCTTCTTTTCTTGGCTCCGCAAATTACAGAGGGGTCAACAACAATGTCATTTAATACACGGAAAAGGGTTCCATGCCTGCAGGGGAGTTTATTAGGTTTGGATTTGAGAGAAGAGAATAAAGCAAAACACAAAAACCCAGGCCTGGACTTTCAGTGTAGCCATGAGTGACTTCTTTCCCTGCTGGTGTCACAGCCTTTATCAACACGTGGCTATTACGATGACGATCACTGCCACTAACTGGGCACCTCTTGAATACCAGGTTCTTGACATGTAGAATTTCTACATCTCACAATAACGTAGCAAAAAAAAAAAAAGGTGATTTTATTGCTCTTTTGTAGATGAGTGTGACAGAGGCTCAGGGAGATTTGTAGCTTACCCAAATCACACAGCCAGTAAATAGTAAAATTGGGCCTTGAATTTAGCTCTGCTTGACTCCAAAACATACTCTTTTCCTATCTACCCTTCTTCCTTTGCTTATTGTAGAGGTCTCCATCCTCCTTAAAGTTAGAAAGAAAGGGCCAGGCGTGGTGGCTCACCCTTGTAATCCCAGCACTTTGCGAGGCCGAGGTGGGTGGATCACAAGGTCAAGAGATCGAGACCATCCTGGCCAACATGGTGAAACCCTGTCTGTACTGAAAATACAAAAACTAGCCGGGTGTGGTGGCACACACCTGTAGTCCCAGCTACTCGGGAGGCTGAGGCAGGAGAATTGATTGAATCTGGCAGGCGGAGGTTGCAGTGAGCAGAGATCATGCCACTGCATTCCAGCCTGCCAATAGAGCAAGACTCCGTCTCAAAAAAAAAAAAAAAAAAAATGAAGAAAGAAAGAAAGAAAGACTAAGTCCAGAGGGAACCGGGAAAATGCTGTCATCATCCCTGTTGGTTCCAGTGAGGGCTGAAGTGCTGGGGGGGCTGTCGCAAGCCTTTTCAATTCCAAGGGTGGGGAGATGCATCTTCCATGGTGTGAGAGGGCTGGGTGAGGAGTCAGGGTGTCAGAAAGAGTGGTTCCAGGGGGAAGTTGATTGCATTTGAGTAAATACTGGGAGCAGGAGAAAATGAATGTGCTTTCTGCTCATGGCTGTCTCCACTCATCTGCATATGATCACTGGAATTAAATTATCTTACACATTTTATTATACATTCCATGAGTCATGTCTTAAAATTATATTGAAGATTATACCTGGAGATTGCATGATGTACTTAAGAGGCAAGAAGAGCCTCTTAAACTATGGCTCATTTGCGGTGAGGTCATGGGGCCTGATGGTGCATTCACAGAGGCATTGGCTGAAAGTCAGAAGATGGGTGGTCTCGTCCCTGCTCTACAACTCAGCTACTCAGCCACTAAACTGCTTAGGGCCGGCCGGGAGCATTATGATCATATAAAAAGAATAGCTGCTGTCTTCAATATCAAGCATTTACCATATTATAGGCATTAGATTAGTTGTTTTATATACAATGCATCATTTAATTTTCATGACCACTTTTCCAACTTACTCTTAAAAGGACAAGATTTATGTATAATTTTTTCTTTTTTTTTTTTTTAAGACAGAGTCTCTCTCTATCACCCAGGCTGGAGTACAGTGGTGCTGTCTCAGCTCACTGCAACCTCTGCATCCTGGGTTCAAACGATTCTCCTGCCTCAGCCTCCCGAGTAGCTGGGACTATAGGTATACGTCACCAAGCCTGGCTATTTTTTTTTTATTTTCAGTAGAGACGGGGTTTCACCATGTTGGCCAGGCTGGTCTTGAATTCCTAACCTCAAGTGATCCACCAGCCTCAGCCTCCCAAAGTGCTGGGATTATAGGTGTGAGCCACCATGCCTGGCCTTATTTATGATTAAAATAGGTAATGCTGAGAAACACTTTGGAATGGCAGTGCAAGGACCTCTGAAAATCCTGTCTCCATAAAAGCAACAAGAACACTGTAAAAAATGGTCAAAACGAACTTTTTCAAAACTCTGGAAATTAACCAAAGGTTTGCAATAATACCAGGAGCATTTATTGAAGTAAAATGATTAAATCTTGGTAAAGACAATGAGCCTTGTGGAGTTTTCTGTTTATCTGTTGTTGTTTTGATTACACACTGGGTCTTTGATGTCTCCATTCTCAAGCCTAGCCCCGTTTTTGTTTTTGTTTTTTTTTTTTTGCATAGGCCTCAGGCTTCTGAAATCAACTCCAATGGGCTTCTTACTTGTAAAATGATATTATCTCACAACATCTTTGTTGGCAGGGATGTCTGGCCCATTAGATGGTACTGTCACCATGCCTCGGACTTGTCCACAGGCTCACAGAAATGACTGACTGAGATTTAAAACAGAGAACTAAACCCGAAAATACAAATAAAGCTTCAAAGTTAACATTAATGAGGATTTAACTAAATATCTGAAAAACATAACATCATAGTTCCACTCATTCAGTCACTAAATTTAGGGCTTTTGGAACTTTCATTACATTAGCAAGTTATCTGTGGATTAAATTTTTTTCCACTTTGAAAAAATTCCTGAGTATCTAGATGCTCTCCAAGCAATGACTGTTAATCTTAAATTAAATGAGTTACTGAGACCAACAAAAACATTTCAAAGTATTATTATAAAAGTCTACTTAAGGTGGGACATGGATATGTTTTTGTCTTTGACGTGATGTAAGGGCCCCAGAAGTCAGAGTTGTAGGACTCAGGGAGAGCTTACAGTGGCCTTGGCTGTGAGGAACAAATTACATTACATATGTGTAATGTAATGTGTATGTTACATATGTGTAATGTAATGTGTACATTACGTATGTAATAATCACATTACAAATGTGATTATTGCATTGTAGAAAAATCCATTAACTACTCTGAAGAATCTACAGGAGAAATGCCATCGGCCCAAAAGACCATCAGCCAGGAGCCCCTGAACCGCTGCACCTGTGGTTCCTAAATCCACTCGATCATCCAAGTTGCTGGGAAGAGTGTCAGAGTGGTGCCTGGGAATTGGTGTCTTAATCAGCACTCCAAGTGATTCTGACAACAGGCCAGGTTTGGGAACCACTGGACTTGACCCAAAGGTCTTCCCATCCCATCTCATCTCATTTCATTTCATTTTGCTCTTGGTTTGTCCTTTTGGACAAGAACAGCTGATCACTCTCAACTTGACCGCGAGTCTTCATGACCCTGACTGCTGCCAAATCTTTCTTAGCCAAGCAGGAGAAGCCCAGTGGCGTTCAGAACACAGAGTCAAACACAGCTGCTTCTGCCTTTCCTTTCCCAAACCTCTCCCAACCCGTAATAGCTTCCTTCCCAAACACTCTTCCCCTGTCCTCTCCTCAGTCCATCACCCTTACATGCCCTCACTCTCAGATGCTGGCTGGGGGATTTCTTCTCTTCCCTGCTCTTTTGTTCCAAGTCACACTGTCTGCAAAATGTTTTCTATTCTAGTTTTGCAATAACAGGCAGCAGCAGAGATTTCCGAGTTAGCAGTGCTATTACTGCTGGAGGCCAAGAGGCTGGAGAGAGGAAATAAATAGTGTTATATCCTCCTGAGGCCACCAGCAGAGCCAGTTGTTGTGGTGAGGGGAGGAAGGGAGGGAAGTGAGAGATTCACCTTTGCTTTTCTGGGCACTTTCCTTGGGCCAGGAAATCTGTTGAATTGACAGAATGATGGGGCCAGGTGGGACCTGAGTCTTCATTAATCCAGATTGGAGTTTGCAAGGAAGCTCTCCGCCGGAAATGCGATGCTTTAGTAATTTTAGCAAGAGTCTTATTTTGGCTGCAGAGGTTGAGGAGGCTGCATTTCTTCCTTGGGGGAAGCCTTCCCGCCGTGAGGTTCGTGTACTTGGTGAATTTGTGCAAGGAGAATGCTGATGGAATTCAGCTTTTACCAGTGAGCCATTGGGTCCCTCAAGCACTGCAGACTTAATCATTTTTAACGGAACAAGGCTAATTATAGATAGATAATTAAAATTAAAATGAATTTTCTTGTTGCATGAGATATCCGCCATGCTCAGGTTTTGCCTGATAACAGCAGCAGCAGCAGTTTACTGCAGTGTGGCTCAGTGTGCAGCCAGTGATCATTTACATCAGAATCACCTGGGGGCCATTGTTAAAAATGCAGATTCCTGGACCCAGATGCAGGCAAGCAGAATGTCTGGGGTGGGAGGCCCAGGCATCCGCATGTTTAACTAGATTCACATGTGATTCTCTGTTTTTTTTTTTTTGTTGTTGTTGTTGTTTTTTGAGACAGAGTCTCGCTGTGTTACCCAGACTGGAGTGCAGTGGCACAATCTCGGCTCATTGCAGCTCCACCTCCTGGGTTCCAGTGATTCTTGTGTTTCAGCCTCCTGAGTAGCTGGGATTACAGGTGCGTGCCACCACACCTGACTAATTTTTATATTTTTTAGTAGAGACGGGATTTTGCCACGTTGGCCAGGCTGGTCTCGAACTCCTGGCCTCAAGCAATCCCCCTGTCTCAGCCTCCCAAAGTGCCAGGATTACAGGCATGAGCCACGGCACCCGGCCAAGACTCTCAGGTGATTCTTAGAACACCAACGTTTAAGAATCATTGAGTGAGAACCTATTTTGTGCTGGAGATTTCATCCGACTAGGAAAAAAATCTTCATAGCAATTTATGAAGTAGATGTCATTCCCTCCATTTTGAAACTGAAGCCTACAGAAATTGAATGACATTACTAAGGTCACATAGCTAGTCAATGGCAAAGCTAGGATTCCAGGCCCATCTAATTGGAAGGCCTGCATTCTTCCCATGTTACTTCCACAGATGCCTCCTGTCTGCCAGGTCACTGGGGCAGCCCTGAGCCGGTGCGGGAGAGGCTCCTGGCAAAGGCCCTAACTGTGGGAAACCAATGGCAGTTGTGAGCTCTTTTCTCCAACAATTGTGGATTCATTCTCCTGTTGACTGTGGAGGGCTCACAGCTCCCCAGAGTCCATGCTCCTGACTCTGCAGAGCTCTCCAGCCAATGCTGGACACCTATCTTTTTGGAAACTGATGATCAGAAGCAAAGTGTGGCAGATGCTGTTGGGGACCCAGTCATTTGCCCCCTCTGCATTGGGGTGCTGTGTGCTTCAGGGAGGGGCTGGGACCTCACTATCCCCAAGTGTGTCAATCCTGATTTGCTCAATTATCCTGGGATTCTAGTCCGCTTGCCAATGAGGCAGCAGTGGGTAACTGAGCCACTTCCTGTCAATGAGATGTGAAAGTCTATTGGGAAGTTTCTGGAGGCATTCCTTCCTTGTCAAGAGCGGTCCAAGTTGTTCTACTGCAAGACCTGGGCTGACATATCACACAGCTCTAGGGGAAACCAGTATATTAGATTCTATGGGCACAGAGCCCCTTGGAGTTGGGCAATGTGGCCTTGCACAAAAGGGGTTTGACCTGCACATACTGAAATGTGTACCACTTGGAATTTCCAATCTCACATTTACTTGTGAACATTGGTTAAATAAAGATTTATTATTATTATTATTATTATACTTTAAGTTCTGGGATACATGTACAGAATGTGCAGGTTTGTTACATAGGTATACAAGTGCCGTGGTGGTTTGCTGCACCCATCAACCTGTCACTTACATTAGGTATTTCTCCTAATGCTATCCCTCCCCTAGGCTCCCACCGCCCGACAGGGCCCTGGTGTGTGATGTTCCCCTCCCTGTGTCCATGTGTTCTCATTGTTCAACTCCCACTTATGACTGAGAACATGTGGTGTTTGGTTTTCTGTTCTTGTGTTAGTTTGCTGAAAATGATGGTTTTCAGCTTCATCCATGTCCCTGCAAAGGACATGAACTCATCCTTTTTTATGGCTGCATGGTATTCCATGGTGTATATGTGCCACATTTTCTTTATGCAGTCTATCATTGATGGGCATTTGGGTTGGTTCCAAGTCTTTGCTATTGTGAATAGTGCTTCAATAAACATACATGTGCATGTGTATTTATAGTAGAATGATTTATAATCCTTTGGGTATACACCCAGTAATGGGATCACTGGGTCAAATGGTATTTCCAGTTCTAGATCCTTGAGGAATTGCCACACTGTCTTCCACAACAGTTGAACTAATTTACACTCCCACCAACAGTGTAAAAGCGTTCCTATTTCTCCATATCCTCTCCAGCATCTGTTGTTTCCTGACTTTTTAATGACTGCCATTCTAACTGGCATAAGATGGTATCTCATTATGGTTTTGATTTGCATTTTTCTAATGACCAGTGATGATGAGCTTTTTTTCATATGTTTGTTGGTCGCATAAATGTATTCTTTTGAGAAGTGTCTGTTCATATCATTTGCCCACTTTTTGATGGGGTTTTTTGTTTTTTTCTTGTAAATTTGTTTAAATTCCTTGTAGATTCTGGATATTAGCCCTTTGTTAGATGCATACATTGCAAAAATGTTCTCCCATTCTGTAGGTTGCCTGTTCACTTTGATGATAGTTTCTTTTGCTGTGTAGAAGCTCTTTAGTTTAGTTAGATCCCATTTGTCAATTTTGACTTTTGTTGCCACTGCTTTTGGTGTTTTAGTCATGAAGTCCTTGCCCATGCCTGTACTGAATGGTATTACCTAGGTTTTCTTCTAGCGTTTTTATGGTTTTAGGTCTTATGTTTAAGTCTTTAATCCATCTTGAATTAATTTTTGTGTAAGGTGTAAGGAAGGGGTCCAGTTTCAGTTTTCTGCATATGGCTAGCCAGTTTTCCCAACACCATTTATTAAATAGGGAATCCTTTCCCCATTGCTTGTTTTTGCCAGGTTTGTCAAAGATCAGATGGTTGTAGATGTGTGGCATTATTTCTGAGGCGTCTGTTCTGTTCCATTGGTCTATATATCTGTTTTGGCACAAGTACCATGCTGTTTTGTTTACTGTAGCCTTGTAGTATAGTTTGAAGTCAGGTAGCATGATGCCTCCAGCTTTGTTCTTTTTTCTTAGGGTTATCTTTACCATATGGGCTAATTGCCCCAGTTAAAAGACACAGACTGGCAAATGGGATAAAGAGTCAAGACGCATCACTGTGCTGTATTCAGGAGACCCATCTGATGTGCAAAGACACACATAGGCTCAAAATAAAGGGATGGAGTAATATTTACCAAGCAAATGGAAAGAAAAAAAAAAGCAGGGGTTGCAATCCTAGTCTCTGATAAAACAGACTTTAAACCAACAAAGATAAAAAAAGACAAAGAAGGGCATTACATAGGTAAAGGGATCAATGCAACAAGAAGAGCTAACTATCCTAAATATATATGCACCCAATACAGGAGCACCCAGGTTCATAAAGCAAGTTCTTAGAGACCTACAAAGAGACTTAGACTTCCACACAATAATAGTAGGAGACTTTAACACCCCACTGTCAATATTAGACAGATCAACGAGACAGAAAGTTAAGAAGGATATTCAGGACTTGAACTCAGCTCTGGACCAAGTGGACCTAATAGACATCTACAGAACTCTCCACCCCAAATCATCAGAATATACATTTCTTCTCAGCACTACATCACACTTATTCTAAAATTGACCACATAATTGGAAGTAAAACACTCCTCAGCAAACCATAACAAACAGTCTCTCAGACCACAGTGCAATCAAATTAAAACTCAGGATTAAGAAACTCACTCAAAACCACACAACTACATGGAAACTGAACAACCTGCTGCTGAATGACTACTGGGTAAATAATGAAATTAAGGCAGAAATAAATAAGTTATTTGAAACCAACGAGAACAAAGACACAACGTATGAGAATCTCTGGGACACAGCTAAAGCAGTGTTTAGAGGGAAATTTATAGCAGTAAATGCCCACAGGAGAAAGCGGGAAAGATCTAAAATCAACACCCTAACGTCACAATTAAAAGAACTAGAGAAGCAAGAGCAAACAAATTCAAAAGCTAGCAGAAGACAAGAAATAACTAAGATGAGAGCAGAACTGAAGGAGATAGAGACACGAAAAACTCTTCAAAAAATCAATGAACTCAGGAGCCGGTTTTTTGAAAAGATTAACAAAATAGATAGAACACCAGCCAGATTAATAAAGAAGAAAAGAGAGAAGAATCAAATAGACGCAAAAAAAATGATAAAGGGGATATCACCACTGATCCCACAGAAATATAAACTACCATCAGAGAATACTATAAACACCTCTACACAAATAAACTAGAAAGTCTAGAAGAAATGGATAAATTCCTGGACACATATACTCTCCCAAGACTAAACCAGGAAGAAGTCGAATCCCTGAACAGACCAATAACAAGTTCTGAAATTGAGGCAGTAATTAATAGCCTACCAACCAAAAAAAAAAATGAGGACCAGACGGATTCACAGCCGAATTATACCAGAGGTACAAAGAGGGGTTGGTACCACTCCTTCTGAAACTATTCCAATCAATAGAAAAAGAGGGACTCCTCCCTAACTCATTTTATGAGGCCAGCGTCATCCTGATATCAAAACCTGGCAGAGACACAACAAAAAAAGAGAATTTCAGGCCAATATCCCTGATTAACATCGATGTGAAAATCCCCAATAAAATACTGGCAAACCAAACCCAGCAGCACATCAAAAAGCTTATCCACCATCACCAAGTTAGCTTCATCCCTGGGATGCAAGGCTGGTTCAACATATGCAAATCAATAAACGCAATCCATCACATAAACAGAACCAATGACAAAAACTACATGATTATCTCAATAGATGCAGAAAAGGCCTTCAATAAAATTCAACACCCCTTCATGCTAAAAACTCTCAATAAACTAGGTATTGATGGAATGTGTCTCAAAATAATAAGAGCTATTTATGACAAACCCACCCAATCATACTGAATGCGCAAAAACTGGAAGCATTCCCTCTGAAAACCAGCACAGGACAACGATGCCCTCTCTCACCACTCCTATTTAACATAGTATTGGAAGTTCTGGCCAGGGCAATCAGGCAAGAGAAAGAAATAAAGGGTACTCATATAGGAAGACAGGAAGTCAAATTGTCTCTGTTTGCAGATGACATGATTGTATATTTAGAAAACCCCATCGTCTCAACCCCAAATCTCCTTAAGCTGATAAGCAACTTCAGCAAAGTCTCAGGATACAAAATCAATGTGCAAAAATCACAAGCATTCCTATACACCAATAACAGACAAACAGAGAGCCAAATCATGAGTGAACTCCCATTCACAATTGCTACAAAGAGAATAAAATACTTCGGAATACCACTTAAAGGGATGTGAAGGACCTCTTCAAGGAGAACTACACACCACTGCTCAAGGAAATAAGAGAGGACACAAACAAATGGAAAAACATTCCATGCTCATGGATAGGAAGAATCAATATCGTGAAAATGGCCATACTGACCAAAGTAATTTATAGTTTCAATGCTATCCCCATCATGCTACCATTGACTTTCTTCACAGAATTAGAAAAAACTACTTTAAATTTCATATAGAACTAAATAAAGATTTTTAAAGAAAGAACTGTCTAGGCACAGTAGGCATTCCAGTTGTGTTCCTACCTACTTAACAAAATCCAAATACAAGTGTCTCTGGAAATTAGAGTTTATGCTGAAGCTCTCAGAAGATAAACATCTTCAGTGAATCATTGAGAGGCTCAGGTGGGATTTTTTTTTTTTTTTTTTTTGAGACATAGTCTCACTTTGCCCAGGTTAGAGTGCAGTGGCGTTATCTTAGCTCACTGCAACCTCCCCCTCCCAGGTTCAAGCGATTCTTGCCTCAGCCTTCCAAATAGCTGGAATTATAGGTGTGTGCCACCATACCCGGCCAATTTTGTATTTTTAGTAGAGACATGGTTTCACTGTTTGCTCAGGCTGGTCTTGAACTCCTGAGTGCAAGTGATCTGCCCTCCTCGGCCTCCCAAAGTGCTGGGATTACAGGTGTGAACCACTGCGCCAGGCCCTCAGGTGGGATTTTGGTGGCCTTGATGGAGCAGTCACAGGCTGAGGGGACCTGAAGGCAGTGGCCCTGGGCTGACAGTAGCCCCTTTGTGGGAGCTGAGCTCAGCTTCTGCCTCAGACTTGCGAAGGTCTGGGCTTTTATTTTATTCTTATTTTTTAGTAGAGATGGGGTTTCACCATATTGGCCATGCTGGCCTCGAACTCCTGACCTCAAGTGATCCACCCATTTCAGCCTCCCAAAGTGCTGGGATTACAGGCATGAGCCACCACGCCCGGCCAGGTCTGGGCTTTTAATTGTCAACTTCCACAGGATGTTCATTCTGAAGAGCCAGCTTCCTGCCTGGTCCAGCCCTGTTAGTTTGTCAGGATGCAGACAACCCTGGAATCAATCTCTGTCCCTCCTGGTTCCACTTGAATGAGGTCCTTTTTTTTTTGAGACAGAGTCTTGCTCTGTCACCCACCTTCTGGGTTCCAGTACTTCCACCTTCCAGGTTCCAGTGATTCTCATGCCTCAGCCTTCCCAGTACCTGGGATTAGAGGTGTGCACCACCATGCCTGGCTCATTTTTTGTATTTTTAGTAGAGACGGTGTTTCGCCATATTTCCCAAGCTGGTCTCGAACTCCTGAGCTCAGGTGATCCACCCACCTGGGCCTCCCAAAGTGCTAGGATTACAGGCGTGAGCCACCCGGCCCAGCCAGGAGGCCCTTCTTGACCTTGTGACAGAAGGACAACCCTCAGCTTCAGGCAGCCCTCAGCCAAACTGTTGGTAGCATCTTAGCCTGAATCCAGTTGGGAAATTCTTCTTAAAGGTGCTGGCTGTTTTCTTTGAACATAATACTGTAAGGGAGAAAATATAATTTCTTTTCTTTCCCTCATGGGTTCTTAGTTGAAACACCCCCCTTGAAAACAAAAGCCAGATTAAAAAGGGAAAAACCAGCGAAGTCTACTGACATGCGCTGTACCCATAACGCTGGAGAGGCCTTTGTTCAAGAGTATTTCTCTCTCAAGGCAGTGGCCTTCGGACCTTGCTCAAATAGTATTTTAACAAAGAGCCATAAATCCTATAATGATAAGACAAAGAAGACAGCATCTTCAGGCTTCCAAAAAGCAGGAAAATGCAGGAGGATAAATTTATGGAAAGAGTAAAGTCTGCTCCTAGGTCCTTGGGTGCTGCTGCCTCCCAGCTGAGAAGCTAATGTTGTGAAGGCCCTTGTCTTTAGGTGGAAAAGGCAGGGAGGAGGACAAGAAGACCTTTGTCTTTGTAAATTGCCATCCTGCCATCCAATCCCCAGGATTTTAGAGAGGGATATTTTGGTTCCCTTCTCTAGAATAGAGCAAACAATTTAAAATAGCTTTGGAAAATATGCCTTTCCTCAACAATTAGTGCAATCATATACACTCAATGCAGAGAATGAAGAAATCATGAAAGCACACACACACACACACACACACACACACACACACACATAAATCCTAAACTGAGTGTAACCCTGACACTTGGAGGTGACCCCTGACATTGATTTATGTATTTGTTTTCCGTCTTCATTTATGTATTTCCATCATTCATTTATGTATTTATTTTTCATCTCCCTAGTTCAATATTCTTATCCTAAAATATTATTATATTATCTTAAAATAATACTATCTTTTACATTACGATGATCATCACCATTTCTATTGTTATTCATCACCATTTTTACTTTTGTTCTTTCCAAGGGTGACGATTGTCATGTCTTTATACAACACTGAAGAGAGTTTCTCCCCTCACAAAGGCTGTCCCATCTCAGGATGATAACCGGAGGGTTGTCACAAAGGCTGTCCCATCTCAGGATGATAACCGGAGGGTTGTCCTTAAGTCATAAATGCACACCACTGGTCTTGGGCTATGTCTGTACCACCTGGGGTCCCTTCAGAGGTGAACCTTCTGAAATACTGTAAGTCCCCTTTGGAGGCAGGGACCATCTCAAGCTTGCTGAGGAGATCTGGGGAGGGCATCCCTCTCTTTCTGAGCCTATGGAAAGATTTAGAAGCGTCCCTCACCATGGTCCTAGCTGCCGTGTAGAGGCCTGTAAGCTGAAGCTGGGGCCTCCTAGGACAAGCCTGTCCAACACGAAATTTTCTAAGTCATCTTGGAGGCCTTTCCACCTGGAATGGCAGTGAAAGCCTTCACCTTCCACCAGGCAAATTTTTCATTTTTTTTTTTTTTGAGATAGAGTCTTGCTCTGTCACCCAGGCTGGAGTGCAGTGGCGTGATCTCAGCTCACTGCAAGCTCCACCCCTCGGATTCATGCCCTTCTCCTGCCTCAGCCACCTGAGTAGCTGGGACTATAGGCACCCGCCCCCATGTCCGGCTAATTTTTTTGTATTTTTAGTAGAGACGGGGTTTTACCGTGTTTGCCAGGATGGTCTCGATCTCCTGACCTCGTGATCCACTTGCCTCGGCCTCCTAAAGTGCTGGGATTACAGGCGTGAGCCACAGCGCCCGGCCCCACCAGGCAAATTTTTGTAAGCCAGTGTTGCAGCCTGGGCTCTGCCATTGCTCAAAACAATGTACTTGGAGAGTATCCTAGGACAGTCGGAACCTTGGGAAACGCTGGAAGTCCCCTCAGGTGGCCACAGAAGGCTGGAGCTGTGCCTGCCATTTTCAGCAACACAGATGAACCTAGAGGGTGTCAGGCCAAATAAAATAAGCCAGGCATAGAAAGACACATACTGTACGATCTCACTTAAATGTAGAATCTGAAAAAGTCAAACAGCAGCAGAGAGTAGAATTGTGGTTGCCAAGGGCGGGGGCAAGGATGGCAGAAATGGAGAGATGTTGGGCCAAGGGTACAAAGAAGATGGGCACAGTGGCTCATGCGTATAACCCCAGCTATTTGGAAGGCTGAGACAGGAAAATCACTTGAGTCCAAGAGTCCAAGGCCAGCCTGGGCAGCATAGTGGGACCTCCTCTCTAAAAACAAACAAAACAAAACAAAACAAAACATCCACAAAGGGTAGGAAAGTTCAGTTAAACAGGATGAATAAGTTCTGGGGATCTTATATACAGCAATGTGACTATAGTTAACAATACACTACTGTATACTTGAAATTTGCTAAGAGAGTTGATCTAAAGTGTTATCACCACACACACAAAATGGAAACGGTAGGAAGCGAGGGATGTGTTAATTAACTTGACTGTAGCCATCGTTTCACAATGTAAATGTATGTTGAGTCATCACATTCTATACCTTAAATATATATGATTTCCAATTGTCAAGTATACCTTAATAAAGATGAGGAAATAAATTAGGGGTCAAAAAAAGAAACAAGAACCTCTTCAAATAGGGATTTATCCACAACCTGCTGGGGCTGAGCAGGTGACCCAGGCCTAAGCCAGCTGGGATGTGGTAGTAAATGCAGCCTGAGGCAGAATGTTAGAAGGCGTGGAGTGCTGTGAGAATGGCTCTGTGATGTCCTGCATTCTTAGTGGGAGGAACTAGAGGCTTACAGCCAATGACCATGTAGTGTCTGCAATCTGACCTCAAGGCTGGAACTACTAAGGGGCCGCCCTCCCTGCCTCCAGGCTCTCCCACACAAATTCCTTCCTACCTGGTAGCCAAGGTGGTCTTTCAACTATCAATAGGCCTTTTTTGCCTCAAACCCCTCAACAGGGCTCTTCCCTGCCCTCTTGCCAAAGGAAGGAGTTCAAACTGTTGACCTGGGGACTTGGCCTTTGGTGATTGGGCTCCTGCTTCCCTGACTGGCATTCCCAGCAGTCCCAGGATGTTCCCCAGCACTGTGCGCTCCATGAGGACAGGGATCATTCCGATTAGACTGCCATCCATCAGACTGAGATCTCCAATAGGAAACCTAGTTGGGCTCCAAGCTGGAAGTGCCTAGTTTAATGCAGGACAGAGTAAGAGGGTCTTTGAGAGGGGAATGATATCCTTTATAGATTTTTGTAATAGATCGGCAGATTATTCTTACACATAGAAGAGGGATTAAATATATTTAGTAGTCGAAGGGATCTGAACTTCAGGGGATCATCCCAAAGTTTCACTACTTGATCTGAGCAATTCCAGGTGAACTACAGGAGGTCAGATGAAGACTTCACAAGTTGTTAACTCATTCAGAGAGCAAACATCTTCTTAATTAACATGGAAACCAATCCAATCTCATGTAAGAACCAAGGAAAAGAAACATTCTTCAACACAATGAGCAGGAGGTCATGGAGCCATGAGCAGACATAGATCATGGTTTCCACCTGTTGCATCTTAGGAAAAGAAACCAAATATTTCCTTCCTGCCTGCCTTCCTTTCTTCCTTCCCTCCTGCCTTCCTTTTTTCCTTCCTTCTTGCCTCCCGTCCTTCCTGCCTGCCTTCTTTCCTTCTAATGTAACATTTGCTTATTAGAGGCTGGGCCCGGTGGTTCACATCTGCAATCCCAGCACTTCAGGAGCGAGGCACGTGGATCACGAGGTCAGGAGTTTTGAGAGCAGCCTGGCCAACACGGTGAAACTCTGTCTCTACTAAAAATACAAAAATTAGCCGGGTGTGGTGGCACGCACCTGTAATCTCAGCTATTCAGGAGGCTGAGGCAGGAGAATTGCTTGAACCTGGGAGGTGGAAGTTGAAGTGAGCTGAGATCACACCACTGCACTTCAGCCTCGGCAACAGAGCAAGACTCTTTCTCAGAAATAATAATAATAATAATAATGACAAAGTAACATTTGTTTATTAGAGAAAAAGTTTGAAAATGTAGGTAAGGCCGGGCACAGTGGCTAATGCCTGTAATCCCAGCACTTTGGGAGGCTGAGGCCAGCAGATCACATGAGGCTGGGAGTTCAAGACCAGCCTGGCCAACATGGCAAAACCCATCTCTACTAAAAATACAAAAATTAGCCAGGTGCAGTGGTGGGCACCTGTAATTCCAGCTACTTGGGAGGCTGAGGCAGGAGAATTGCTTGAACCTGGAAGGCAGAGGTTGCAGTGAGCCGAGATTGCACCACTGCACTCCAGCCTGGGTGACAAAGCAAGACTCCGACCCAAAAAAAAAAAAAAAAGAACTAAGGGACATAAGTCAAATTTTCAATAGTGACTACCTCTAGGTAGAGGGCTAATGGATGGTTTTCATTTTCATTTCACTTATCTACTTTTTTGTTTTTGTTTTTGTTTTTTTTTGAGACAGTCTTGCTCTATCCCCTAGGCTGGAGTGCAGTGGCACGATCTCAGCTCACTGCAACCTCTGCCTCCCAGGTTCAAGCGATTCTTCTGCCTCAGCCTCCCAGAGTGGCTGGGACTACAGGCGCATACCACCACACCCGGCTAATTTTTGTATTTTTAGTAGAGACAGGATTTCACCATGTTGGCCAGGCTGGTCTTCGAACTCCTGACCTCAGGCGATCCACCTGCCTCGGCCTCCCAAAGTGCTGGGATTACAGGCATGAGCCACCGCGCCTGGCTCCTTCATTCTTTTTTTTTTTTTTTTTTAAAAAAAAAAAAACAGTTATACTAAGATATAATTCACGCTGCATAGAGTTCACTCATTTAAAATGTATAATCCAATTGCTTTTAGTGTATTAACAGAGTTATGCATTTATCATCACAATACATTTTAGAATACTTTCATTACTCCAAAAAGGAACCCCTGCATGCACCCCTTAGCTCTCAGCCCCAACTCCCCGCCCCCACACCCATTCCAGCCCTGGGCAACAACTCATCTACTGTCTATCTCTACAGATTTGCCTGTTCTAGATATTTCATGTCAGTGGTCCATACTTTATGTCTCTGGCTACTTTCACTTAGCTAAAAGTGTGAGTCTTATCCACCTTGTAGCATAGGTCAGTGGGGGCAAGGGGAGTTAAGTTCCTCATGTTCAGTTTATTGGAAGAATCTATTACATTTTCTTTTCATCCTTTTATGGTTTAATTTTTAATGCTTTGTTTTGGCTGGTCTCGAACTGAACTCAGGTGATCCATCCGCCTCAGCCTCCCGAAGTGCTGGGATTATAGGCATGAGCCACCTTGCATGGCCCTGGATTTTTATATAAGCAAAAAGTAAGTGAGGAATGCAACTTTGTTTTATTCTAACTCACCATCCATTTTTTTCAGCACCTTTTATTCTGCACTGTCAGAAATTCTATCTTTTTTATATTCTACATTCTATTATATATGTCAGCGCTCTCTGCTGCCTACTCAAGAGAGTCCCCAACTTAAAACTATAAAGGCAAAGCAGGGAAGGATTCTGCAGTACCTTCTAGGACTGGGGTGCAGGGTTGCTGGGACCTGGACCCACATCCTAGTTCTGCGCGGTGGGGACAGTGGGAGGCGCAGCTACCCTCAACTGTGAATGCAGAGTGCTCAAGGCTCAGTAAAAATTGGGAGTAACTAAAAGTTTTAACTTTAGGTTTCTAATAAAACATTTTAAAGAAACTACCTTTGAAGGAGGTGTGAAGGCAAGCCGGCAAGAAGAAATAGCCTCAATAGCCTTCATCTGCAACAGGGAAAATACCCAAGGGCAAAGTTTAAAATGCATTCCTAGGTTCACTGATGAATAGACAGAAAGATCCTTTTTTTTTTAATTTTTAATTTTTTTTTTTTTTTTGATGGAGTCTTGCTCTGTCACCCAGGTTGGAGTGCAGTGGTGTGATCTCGGCTCACTGCAACCTCTGCCTCCTGGGTTCAAACGATTCTCCTGCCTCAGCCTCCTGAGTAGCTGGGATTACAGGCACCTGCCACCACCATGCCTGGCTAATTTTTTGTATTTTTAGTAGACATGGGGTTTCGCCATGTTGGCCGGGCTGGTCTTGAACTCCTGACTTCAAGTGATCCACCCACCTTGGCCTCCCAAAGTGCAGGGATTACAGGCATGAGCCACTGTGCCCTGCCTAGAAAGGCTGCTTAAAGCCCAGTGTTATCTTTAATGGCTGCTTAAAGCCCAGTGTCAACTGTGCTTTCCTAGGACACCAGTGGGCACTGGGGGAGATAACAGAGGTCCCTTCTAGAAGGAACTGTTTCACCTGCTGTAAATAGCAGTATGACACTTGAAGCAAACCTCAGCCAATCCCTCTGCAGCTCTGCCACTGCAGCGAGGAATGGTAGGGACAATCTAACCTTGAGGGGGAAAAAGATAACATTGCTTCTGGGCTGTACCATGATGTCATATTTGTTGCGGAGAACAGATAACATCATAAATTTATACACTGGAGTACAAAAGCCCATTGTCCCAAGGGGAGATGCGAAGGCAAAGGTCGAAGTCGATTTCTGACACATGTTTAAGGCAGCTGAACCAGGTCCTCCTGACAGACTCTCTTCTGAATGCTTACCACCCGTTGTTGGTGTCACTAGTTTGAGAATTAATCATACTTAATTGACATGTCAACTGAAGTTGACCCTGTCCTTTGGGTTTTGAGTGAAATTGACTTGAACCTCCATCCCAGGTGTACCTGGAGATCTAGAGTTCCCTTCAAACTCTTTGGGGGATTCATAGGGTGAAGGGCATATGTATTACATTTTTCCAGGTCATCCCTAGCTCTGAAATCCTGATTCTGCAAAATCGTTTCAGCTAATGGAACATCTCTTCATCCCAGCTTGCACCTCGCTGCCCTAACTGGCCATGATTTTGATAATTTCATTTTTTGACAAGCCATCGACCAAGGCTGCATAAATAGCTGAATTTTACCGACAACTTGAGGCCATGGAGAGGTTTATACCACCACATCTGAATCTCAGTCTAATGTTAGATATGAATCAAACCTAAAATTGAATATTAGACACCCCTGCTTCGGTCTTTTGTCCATCTCATGAAGAGTTTCTATTTCACTGCCTATATCTCTACCCGCTTCTGGGCCAGCTGTGGCAGGTCAATTCTCCCTGACCATCACACAAACAGGCCTGCAGAGCACCCCAGCTACACAGACACATTTCCACAGCACTGCCTCAACATTAAGCTAATAATTAAACCCAGGGAAATTGATGCCCAGACATCAAAGCCAGAAATGAAACACACTTCCTACACAGTCTTCTCCCAAAGCTGGAGCAAGCCAAGATGATGGAGACAGCCTTACACTCCTCGTGCCAGGACCCATCTCAGGTTAATGAAGTCTGAGATGAGTCAAGGTAACTGAGGCAGCTGTTTGAATAGATTTATGGGAGAGTTTAAGGCAGCTCTCTGGACCAAACTGCAAATGAGATAAGATAGGAATAATCACTCTGGTACCACAGTCCTCATTAAATAGAATTTAGGAGACAGGCCTTGAAGGTACTGGGGCCCTCACAGCTTGATCAGACTTAGAAAGCATTTTTTGGCCTCTGATCTTCTAGTTGAAACGAAATTAGTTACCCATAGACTTAGGTGAATGTGATACTGCACATAGGCATATGACCCCAATCTATATAAGCACTAAGAAAATTGTAACACTTTGAGTTGGTCTAGTGGAATTATCTCTGACCTTCTCCCTGTATCTGGTTACTACAAGAAATTCCCTTCTTTCCTAGTTTGTCTGCTTCTCGTTATTGGGCCACGAGAAAACACAGCCAGACCCGGCTCGGTTCCAGGAACAATCTGGCCTCCTGTCTCCCTTCCCTCGACCTTTTGCCTTAATTAATTCACTTCCTTCCACCATACCCAGATTTCTCCTAACCTCTTACACAGACCATTTTGGCTCTCTTTTTTCACTGCCTCCTTCCAGATAAACTGTTGAAGCCTCACCTCCGAACTAGAGTGACCTCTCAAGGTATTTTCAAAACCAAAGTCCATCCTCTTCCTGAGTGGAACTCCAGTGTTAGCTGATAGAACAACATTTTATCAGATCCATGTGCAATTTCTAATTATGGCAACCTGTGACAGTTCTGAATTTTTTTAAACTCCTGTGTTGTTTTTAAATATTTTAGTTAAACAGTGAGATAGGGCCAGGAGTAGCACCTGTTCCCATAAGCCAGACTAGAAAACTTCATGTTTCACCTTATTGGGCATTGGGTACAGCACTCAGAAAGGTTTTACCTCAGTAATGAGGAGGAATGAGTCCTAGATTAATCATGGCTCAGTCCCACCTAAGAAGTATTCAAAGCAAGCAAGCAAAACTGAGACTGTTTCCAAGTCACTTAATTTGTCCAAGAATATTTATAAGAATACAAAAATATCCAGTATTCAACAAGGCAAAATCCCTAATGTCTGACATCTAATAAAAAATTACCAGGTATTCAAAGAAGCATAAAAATTCAATCTGTAATGAGGTGAAAACTAAATCAATCAAAACCAAGTCAGAACTAGCACAGATGTTAGAATGAGCAGACAAGGATATTGAAATAATCACAATACCTGTATTCTGTATGTTCAAATAGTTAAGGAGAGACATGGAAGATATAAAAAGGACCCAAAATAAACTTTCAGAGATGAAAGCTACACTGGCTGAGATGAAAAATACGTTGGATGGGATTAATGACCATGGAAGAGATTCCAGAAGAAAGATTCGTAAACTTCAAGACAATGGCGGAGATGACCCAACAGGAAACACACAGAGAAAGAAGAATTTAATAAATGGTCCATCACTGAGTGTGGTGAGATGGGACAGTTCCTTTGACCTTGACCCCCTTTGTGGGTGGGAACTGGAGTGGCTTGTTTCCTTCAGCCTGCTGCTGGCCACTCCTCGTGAGAGGGAGTGTGTGAGCAAGTGAGCGTGGGAAACAGAGGGAATGAACACTGGAACCAGCTGGTCACTCCTCTCTGGTGGGAGCAGGCTCTGTGCAGGCCTGTGGCAGCATCCAAACCCCTGTCCTCTCGGCACTCAGGTTCTTGTTTGGTGTTCGGGAAGAATCAGGTAACTCAAACGGATTGAAGGGTAGTGTATGTGGAGGATTTTCTTGGGTGATGGATATGGCTCTCAGCAGAATGGGGAGTTGGAAAGGGGATGGTATGGGAAGAAGGGTGCAGGAAGAAGGCGACCTTTCCCTGAAGCCGCACTGTCTGAAGTTATCTGCGTCTATCCGTAATCTCTGACATTCAGTTGATGCCTTTCTGCTTGCCACTCAGCCACTTGTATCCCTGACACTCGGCGGCCTGCATCCCTGACTGCTTGCATCAGCTGCTTGTGTTGCTCTGCCAGCTGAAGTCTTTTTATGGGCACAGAATAGGGGTGTGGCAGGCCAAAAAGCAACTTTTGGGTGGAAAAGCAAGGTCAGCTGTTTTCACTTAGGGCCACAGTTCCAAGCTCAAGGCTGAGGTTTAGCCAGAAGCCCAGCTGTTCTGTATCAGTGGGAAACTTTAATCAGCTTAATCCATAATTAAGGTCCCTGAAGTGGAGGAGAGAGAGGAAGGACAGAATAAATATTTGAAAAAATAAGAGTTGAAAAATGTGCAATTTTGTTGAAAACTAACCAACCCACAGATCTAAGTAGCTCCACACAAGGAAACCTCAAGCACAAGAAACATGAAGAAAACCACGAGACACATCACAACCAAACTGTTCAGAACCCGTGATAAGAACGAAATCCTAAAAGCAACCAGAGAAAAAAGACACATTATGTACAGAGAAACAAAGACAAGACTCATGGCAGATTTCTTGTCAGAAACAATGCAAGTGAGAAGTTAGTGGAGCAACATCTGAAGTATCGGGAAAAAAAAGTCAACCAGGAATCTTATGATATCGACTGAAAACATCTTTCAGAAATGAATGCTAAACTTTGTTGAAGATATAAAAGATGAAAGAATTTATCACCCGCAGACCTGAATTATCATGTCTCTCCATGTCCTCAGCAGTATTGGTTTCAGGACCCCTGAGGATACCAAAATCCTTGGATACTCACGTCCCTGATATAAAATGATATCGTCAACCTAAAATAATCAAAAGGGTCAGAATCTAGTTTAAAGAAAGTTTATTCAAGCTCCAAGTTTCAAGATGGCTGCCCAGGAAGCACAGATTCCAAAGAATGAAAGTCAATGTTCCAAAGTGTGGAAGTTTGGAATCATTTATATAGACAAATTCAGGGGGTGCTTAGTAGAATGTCAGCATCCTTCTATACAAGGCTTAATGCGTAGTCACAAATGGTCTGATTAGTCAAGGTGTTTTTTTCTTTCAGGGAAGGCATATTTCACATTCCATATGGAAGATGTGTCATGGGGTCTTTTGCACCATCTGGTTGAAGTTAGGTACAAGACAGTAAAGGAGGCAGTTAATCTACAAGAAGGGTCAGTGGTTGGAAGAGGGGAGGTCTGGCCTCTGATCTCTCCTAGTCATTTAAAGAACAAGAACAAGGAGGAAGAGAGTTGATCTACAATCTAAGAAGCTGAAGTTACAGCTATATGCTGTGGGACTCAGGTCTCCCTGGGCCTGGTACATTTTGCATACCTCGCATAGTTCAGACTGTTCCAAGCTATTTTGCTTCACTTACTCCTAAACAACAGCCTCGGGACCTTCTGGGGTTGTGAACACACTGAAGTGCTGGGCGGCTGTTCAGAGAGGGCATGGAAGCTCCACGCCCCCTCCCTTTTCCTATGCATTTGTTTGTTCCTGAGTTAGATCCTTTATAATAAACTGGTAATAGTAAGTAAAGTACTTTCCTGAGTTCTGTGAGCTGTTCCAGCAAATTCTTGAACCTGCAGAGGGGATTGTGGGAACCCCTCCCCACTTTATAGCCAGTTGGTGAGAAGCACTGGTGGCTTGGAGTTCAGCCTGGTGCATGCAATCCAGGTGGTCTTACAGGGCCGAGCCCCCAACTGGTGGGGTCTGTGCTTACTCCAGAAGTTATCAGCAGAATGGAATTGAATTGCAGGACAACCAGTTGGTGTCTGAGAGATTGGGAACTGGTTTTGAAGGAAAAAATCCACATATTTGGTCTCAGACGTGTTGTGAGTCAAAATAGTTCAAAGGGAGGGACTGCTCAGCCTGGTCCCTTGTCCCTAATTCAGTCTGAGGCTTCCCAAGACTAAAATGTGCTTGCTATTAGATTGTATTGGGAGCTAAACCTCTTTCTCCCTTGATCTTGAGTCCTTGGGCTCAACTTTGGAAGGATATCCAGAGGTTTTTTGTATAAAATATTCATCCAAACCCGAACAAGACAAGCTTGCCACGCTTCAGCAGTTTCTGTGAGGTTGGTTTTCTTGGAGCCTGAAGAAAACCTCCAAGGGCTGAGCCTGAATGATAGATTTGGCATGGGAGGGAAAAACCCAGAGCTTGAGAAACTTAAATGACAAGAAACCGAGTTTGCTGTGGAACAGACCTGAAGTTATTAGTTCACAGTGACAGTTTAGCTCTCGCAGGCTCAGGCATTATTTTTTTAAGTGATTCTGAACTACTCTGTTAAGAGAATGTTGTTTCCTAAGATTAAGGAAACTTTGACTATTAAGAAAAGATTTTTTTAATCACTTGTGCCCTGTCTACTTTTAAAAGAGTTTAGAGGTGGCTTAAAATACTAAAGTGTGTAGAAAGTAGGTCAGTGAAAATAGAGGTTAGAAGGAGCGCAGAGAGGTCAAGGGTGAGATGGATAAATTTAATGCTCATTCTAGAAGTTATTAATTCAGGACATAAGGGTGGTTGGACAGATTATGAAGTTCACATTGCTTGATTAAAGAAAACTGGCTAGAGAGATGGATATTTTCAGGTGCTGAATTTTATGAGGATTTGTGTGTGTGTGTGTGTGTGTGTCCTCATACAAGGGGCTTGAAAAATGTCTCTAGTAATTTTGTAAAAGATATAATTTTTTTTTTGAGACAGAGTCTTGCTCTGTCACCCAGGCTGGAGTGCAGTGGCACGATCTTGACTCACTGCAAACTCCGCCTCCCAGGTTCAAGCAATTCTCGTGCCTGAGCCTCCCAAGGAGCTGGGATTACAGGTGTCTGCCACCACGCCTGGCTAATTTTTGTATTTTCAGTAGAGACGGGGTTTCACCATATTGGTCAGGCTGGTCTTGAATTCCTGACCTCAGGTGATCCACCCGCCTCGGCCTCCCAAAGTGCTGGGATTACAGGCATGAACTACCGTGCCTGGCCCTGGATATAAAAGCTTTTTAAAAAACAGGATAAAAACACTGAGTGAGGATCATTTGCAGGATACCTCATCTTCTGCTTTACGCGAGCTCCGATTCATCCGCCTCCTGCCTATCCTTAAGGCGAGGAAAGACAGAGAAGCGCTTTGCTAAAAATGCTGTAGGCTGGAGCAAAATGGCTGTGGAGGCACAGACAGTCATCATTGGAGTTAAGAGAACATGGAGAGAAAAGTGAATGTGCACCGAAAATAATTCTAGAGGGCGTAGCATCCTGTGGCCTCTGGAATACAGGCTTGAGATCATCTGTGACCACCGGCTCAGGCAAGACTTAAGGTTTTTCCTCACATCCTGTGTCTAGAGCACTTATACCAATATTGCAAAAGAAATGGTGGTTAGAGGGCTTATTGTCAGATGAGGATAACAAAAGAAGTGCTTTTTACCCTGCCGGCCAAAAAGAGAAGGTAATTATTGGAGAAGCAGATTTGACCTTTGGATGACAGAGAATAGAAGAAAAAATCACCCCATTTTCAGCTTAGGGTTTAGGAAGAAAACATGAAAACACTTCACCTCTATAACCTGGGAGCATCTGCATCAGACTTGAGGGTTTTACCGAATTCCGGTGGCGCCCAGTTCCCCTTGCAGGAGAGCCTTGGAAACCGGGGACCCAGCAGGAACGGGCTTCATGGGAAAGTGCTATGGATTCAGCCCCTGGACCCAAAGGAGGACTTAGGAGAGCTGGTTTCCCCTCGAGGACCCAGAAAGGCTCTCCTTCTGAGCCCAGACACTTTGAACTTGGAAGACGGGTCTTGGAGGATTTTTGTTGCATTCCTGGGACTCCATCAATGTGTATGGTTTGAATATCTCTACGTGGCCAGGCACTGTGGAAGGTGCTAGCACCACAAAGAACAACAACAGACACATCCCTGGTCGCTTGCATCGCACTAAAGAGCAGGACGGGCGGGAAGGAGGGAAAGAACCTCGGTCCACGAAGTTCTCCAGCAAAGCAGCCTGACTCAGACGAAGGGCGAGCTTCCCTGAGGAGGTGCACCGAGCGGGAGGAGTGGACGGGAGGTCAGAGGAGAGAGCCGCGGTGGGGAAGAGGGTTCCCTGCAGAGTGTGCACACAGGCCGGGCCACACAAAGGCAGCGAGGCTTTGTCCTAGAGAAATGCAGTGCCATTGTAGCATTGTAAGCAGGGCAGACGACAATCAGATCTGGGTTTTGAGATCACTCTGGCCGCAGTGTGGAGGAGCAATTAGAGAAGGGCCTGAATCCGGTTATTTTATTCCTTTGAATAACTGATTTTATTTCTTCAAGTTTAAGGTGATTCACCTGGAGAATGCTGATGGTGCCTATCCGTTAAGATTAGCATGACGCTGCATTCCGGTGTGCTTGGGACAATCCTGGTTTATGTCTGTGGTCCTGCTATAATTTTTTTTTTTTTTGAGGTGGGGTCTCGCTGTGTCGCCCAGGCTGCAGTGCAGTGGCGCAATCTTGGCTCACTGCAGCCTCTGTCTCCCGGGTTCAAGCAATTCTCCCACCTAAGCCTCTGGAGTAGCTGGAATTGCAGGGGTGTGCCACCATGCCTGGCTACCTGTTGCATTTTTAGTAGAGGTGGGGTTTCACCATGTTGGCCAGGCTGGTCTCAAACTCCTGACCTCAAGTAATCCACTGGCCTCAGCCTCCTAAAGTGCTGGGACTATAGGCTTGAGCCACTGTGCCTGGCCCCTGCTATAATTATTAATAGTGCCCCTTTCACTCAAAGATGTCTGGGTTCAGGCAAGGAATTACATGATCACTGTAGTTACAATGTTTTTGTTTTTGTAGAAACAAGGTCTTGCTATGTCAACCAGGCTGGTCTTGAACTCCTGGCCTCAAGCTGTCCTCCTGCCTCAGTATACTGTTAAACAACCCCAAACAGACTGGTTTGGCAGTAAGGGGATCTCCAGCTCGCCTTCCTAAAGAGGCCACAGGCAGGGCAGCTTCACAGTCAGCTGGGTAATGGGCTGTGAGGTGTCTTCACAACCCTGGATTCTCCTTATTTCTCTGCTCTGCCTCTCAGAGGGTCAGCGTCACCCTTGGCCTGCCTTCTCTCATGGTGACAATGTTGTCCCACAGTCCCAGAGCTTGTATCCACACTTCAGAGGGAGAGGGACTCCTCTAGCAAATCTTTGCTTGTGTCTCATGAGCCCAGCTGGGTCCCAGGCCATTGCTGAACCAATGCTGTGATTTGTCTGAATGCCATACTCAACGCCTAAACCCATCACTGTAGACCCCTGTGAGATACAATCGCTCCATTCTCTGTTTTAGATTAACCAGGGCCTTCCTGAGGGAGGGGCCTTCCTCTCCCAAAGCCATGGGCTGCATGAGGCAGGAGAGGCTACTTAAATGAAAATCTGAAACCCCTTAGGAAAGGGAAAGGGGAGGATGGATTCTAGTTGCAATCAACAAAGTGTACAACACCAGACATTAGGATATTAGGGTTCTTCTATTTGCGACTCTAAGGGATGTAGTGTTTTGGAAGGGGAGAGCTCTTTATCTTTAAAGGAGAACAGCATCCTTCATTATTCATGTAGCATTTCATATAGCAAACCTTGCGACCAGACATGCTAATGAATATTCAAGAACATCCAAGAATGAGGAGGCTCAAGTCTTGACTCTTTTTTTTTTCACTTTGAGACAGAGTCTGACTCTGTTGTCTAGGCTGGAGTGTAGTGGCTCAATCTCGGCTCACTGCAACCTTTGGCTTACTGCAACCTCCATCTGCCAGGTTCAAGTGATTCTCCTGCCTCAGCCTCCCAAGGAGCTGGAGTTATGGGCACGCGCCACCACGCCTAGCTAATTTTGTATTTTTTAGTAGAGACGGGGTTTCACCATGTTGGTCAGGATGGTCTCGAACTCCTGACCTCAGGTGATCCACCTGCCTCGGCCTCCCAAAATGTTGGGATTACAGGCGTGAGCCACCATGCCCGGCCATCTTGACTCTTTTATATTCATTTCGGAAGCTCAAATTCACCTTCACACCGTCCTTCCTTTGAGCATCACTGAGCTACGGTGTGTGTGTCTCTCCTCTAATCGCGACTGCTGTCACAGCACTATCTTCGCTGAGTTCTCTTCTAAGCACATTTCGCATCTAATTGAGTTATCGTCACTCAGTGCCAGGAAAGACTGAGACTGAGGCAGGAAAAGACACGCCTGAGCCAAATGTGTCTGCCAGAGTTTAAAAGGGTTTGCTGCTGTCTTTAAGTCCTTGGCTTAATTCCAAGATAATGTGTAAGTGCTTTAGGATTGACTGTTATTTTGTATTTTCTGGCTTTTGGCTCTTCTCCATTAACATAATGGCTAACCCTGTAATTGTTATGAAAGAATGAGACCATTTTACCCTGAGCTTGGAAAAGGGTAGAGACAATGTCTATTTTCTTGCTTCTGGAGCCTCTCCGGATAAACCTTATTTTATTATCATTCCAGGGGTGCCCACCTGACATGGCAGAGGATGGGTCCATGGTTAAGCCACTGCGCTCTCACCTAGAAGTGAGCACAATGGTGGGTTGAGGACATTCTGGGAGGTTCGGGAGCTTTTCTGCCATTATCCTGGGAGCAAGAGGCACCCTGCAGTGGGATGCACCCTGCGGGCAGGACCTGGGCATGGGGTCAGAGTGGGCCGGGCCAGAGCACACTGCCTCATCAGGGAGTTGTGGCTGGGGAGGCCCCTAAGAAACTTCCACAGAAAGGGCCCGCCACCCAGCAGGCAACAATGGCCAAGGGAAGTCCCCAGTGGCACTGCGTGAATAAAGACTTTGATCTCCTCTGCCTCCCTTCTTCCCTTCACAGCACATTGGAGAAAAGAGAGGAGGAAGAAGGAGTTGGGCAGAGACTCTCACCCCTCTGCAAACCAAGGCTCTGAGGCTGGGACCTACTACTCCTTCTGCTAGGAGGTGAGGATGTGCAATGGAAGTGAATTAAAATGGATTGGACAAGACTTTGAAAAAAAAAAAACCCTGTGTCATCCAAGAGATGGAATCAGAATAGGATCCCTAAGGGACTAGACGTTTATGAGAAAAATAAAGCAATTTCATGTTTGTTTCACTTGTTCCGTAAAGTAGTTGGCCACACATGTCTAGGATGAATTACACCAAACCAATCTAGCTTTTATTTTTTAATTCAAGACTTCTACACTCACCATAGATGGATAATTTCTCTATGCTGATAAAGCCTGTTATATGTTTCTTGCCATGGTGTCTTTTTAGAATGCATAGAGAAAGAGGGATATAGGATCTGAGCTCAAAGAGGACCCCAAAGGATGTGGGAAAAATGAAACGCTCATACACTGTTGGTGAGAATGGAAGTTAGTACAACCTCTGTGGAAAATTGGAGAGTTCTCAAAGAAGGAAAAATAGAACTACCCTTGGATCTGGCAATCCTACTACTGGTTGTTATATACCTGAAGGAAAATAAATCATTATATAAAAAAGACACCTGGACTGTCAGCTGTAGCAGTATTCACAATAGCGAAGTCCTGGAATCAACCCAAGTGCCCATCACCAGATGATTGGATTAAAAAGTGGTACATACATACATCATGGAATACAACTCAGCCATAAAAAAGAATGCAATATTGTCTTTTGCAGCAACATGGATAGAACTGGGGGCCATTATCCTTAGTGAAATGGCCCAGAAACAGAAAATCCAAAACTTCACTTTCTTACTTATATGTAGGTACCCCCAGACATACAGAGGGAAATAATAGACACTGGAGACTCCAAATGGTGGGCAGGTGGGAGGGGTGAGGGATCACCTCTTGGGTTCATTGTACACTATTTGGGTAATGAGCATACTGAAAGCCCCGATTTCACCACTGTGCAATATATTCATGTAAAACAACTGCATTTGTACCCCTAAATCCATAAAAATAAAACATTTAATAAAACTAAAAAAGACTTTGAAAAAAATAAGAGGCTCATGCCAAACCTGAGTGGCATTTCTATAGCTATGCTTTGAAGGCCCATCCTTAAACACGCCCGGCTCAGCCTCAGTTCCTTGCACGTGACCTACTTTTTCAAGAAAACATTTATGGAGCACTTCCTGTGCGTAAGACCTTGGTGTTAGGAGCTGCAGAGGCAAGACTGTTCCTTACAACCTGGTTTCCTTCTGGATGCTTCCTACCTAGTGAGCACCAGGCAGTAAATAAAATAAGGGTGGAGCCATGGCTCTGAGCAGGGGGTGGGCACTGTGGTGTGGGAGAAGGGGGTACTTCTCCCTCCTCAGGCTGGAAGAGAGGTAGAGCAGGCATGCACTCTGACCCGAGCAGGGCGGGCCAGCCGAGCACAAGCTTCTTTCACTTAAAGGAGCAGGAATGATAAAGAGTAACTTAGCTAGGCTGGGTGGGGTGGATCACACTTGTAATAGCAGCACTTTGGGAGTCTGAGGCCCAAGAGTTCTAGACCAGGCTGGGGAATACAGCCAGACCCTCATCTCTACAAAAAATGAAAATTAGCTGGTGTGGTGGTGCATGCTTGTAGTCCCAGCTACTTGGGGGACTGAGATGGGAGGATTGTTGAGCCAGGAGTTTGCGGCTTCAGTGAGCTATGATCGCACCACTGCACTCCAGCCTCGGTGACAGAGCAAGACCCTGTCTCAAAACAAACAAACAAACACCAAAAAAACCAAGGGACGAACGCTGGCTAGATGGATCAGGTGTCACAGCCATTGCTGTTTGGCCAGTAAAATGCAGCCCAGCAAGTGCGGAGATGACAGACGGGCATGGGATTGCTGAGCAGGGGTTCGCAAAGGACAGAGGTACTGGACACTGAATTTGCTTTGTGTTGATATTGTTTCCCCTTTTCCCAAAAAGAGGCATGGGAAGCATGGCATGAATCACTTATGGGCAACGTGAGACAAATTTCTAAAATGGTTTGCTGCACGCAACCAATTTCACATTGAAAGCCACTCCTGCTAAATGCTGAAAAGCCATAAATCATCCAGCCTAATGGATTTTGTCCCATCTATTCAGTATCTTCCAGGGCATTGAATTTAGAATGTAATGCACTAAGAAAAAAACAAAACAAAACACCTCCCTAGAAAACCATATAAGCTTGAACATTTTCAAAGTAAAATCGCTCATGCTAAAAGCATCCCTCCCTCCTTGTGAAAAGACCTTGACCACTTCTCTCTTGCTGGTCTCCCCGTAGCAGACAACGGCTCGCCTCCCAGTGCCACAGGAAGAACGTGGCTGCCTCAACATGAGCCCAGCCCTGCCACTCCAGGTGTGAGACCTGGGCAAGCAGCATCAGTCTTGCAGCCACAGCTTTCTTGTCCATCCAGTGGACCTAGGGCTATTGTGACTATAAATGAAAAAAGAACCTAAGACAGCCCTGGCCTTAAGTAGTTGCTTAAAACGTGATGGCCGGCATGATGGTTTTTTAAACATTTGGGTCCCCTGCTCTCTTCCCCCATGTTTCCTAGTGTCTGGGTTGGAGGCAGCCTTAGCCACCTTCTTCTTACCTTGCCTTCCCTCCTTCCTACCTGTGTCCAGGACAAAATGCCTGAGGAATGTCTCTGCTTCATTAAGCAGCAAAACACACAATGACCCTTGTCATTATAGCCGCTATTCCTGGTGGGCGAGGGTCCACCCAGCTCTGGCTTCAGTTAAGCTTCTGACTGGGGAGAGCCTGGGATCCTTTTTTGGGGAAATGGCTCACTAGTTCTTTGACTGGGTGGGGCTATTTTCCAGGCTGCAAGAAAAGAGCCTCGCCCCTGCTGCTCCGAGGCCAGGCTTCTCCCTGCAGAGCCTGGGTCAGATCAGCTGGGATTCCAGGGCTGACCAATTTCGTCATGAGGGTTGCTCTAATTCACTGTTTGGGAAACTCAGCCCTGGAAAACAAAACTGTGTTGCAAGATTTCTTCATTCCTTGGTTTGCACACCATCAAATTACGCATGAGTTTAATGTAATTTGAGCTTTTCTCTCAGATGAAACCCATGGCAAATACACAGAGGAGCCAAAATGCCTACTTTTTAGGCTTTATCTTGATTTTTTTTTCTTTTTATAGGCCACGTATCCCAAATCTTTATAAAAGAGAATAACAAAAACACACACAGATAAAACTGATATCCCTTTTCTTTTTTTTTTCTTTTCTTTACTCTTTTTTTTTTTTTTTTTGAGGCAGGGTCTCACTCTGTCACCCTGGCTAGAGTGCAATGGCGTGATCATTACAGCCTTGATTATAGCAGTGATACATCACTATAGCCTCAATCTCCCCAGCTCAAGCAATCCTCCCACCTCAGCCTCCCAAGGAGCTGGGACTATAGGTGTGTGCCACACCTGGCTAATTCTTTTGATTTTTGGTAGAGACAAGGTCTCACTATGTTTCCCAGGCTGGTCTTGAACTCCTGAGCTCATGTGATCCACCCACCTTGGCCTCCCAAAGTGCTGGGATTACAGGCATGCGTCACTGTGCCCAGCCCAAACTGACATTCTTTATGCCATCAGTATCCAATTAGAAAGAACGCTTAATTCAGAAAAATGTTCTTGATTGTGTCCCTGAGCGTGAGGAAGGCATAGGGAGGGGAAATGTTTATTCACGGCCGCAATTCTTTCAGCCTGGGTAAGGGCGTGGTTCTATGGGACTCTGTGTCCTTCTGGTAGATAGATACCTGCTTCTTCTTCTTCTTTTTTTTTTTTTTAAGAGACGGAGTCTCACTCTGTCGCCCAGGCTGGAGTGCAGTGGCACAATCTCGGCTCACTGCAACCTCTGCCTCCCGGGTTCTAGCAATTCTCCTGCCTCAGCCTCCTGAGTGGGTGGAACTACAGGTGCACACTGCCACTCCCAGCTAATTTTTTGTATTTTAGTAGAGATGGGGTTTCACCATGTTGCCCAGGCTGGTCTCGAACTTCTGAGCCCAGGAAATCCACCTGCCTCAGCCTCCCAAAGTGCTAGGATTACAGGCGTGAGCCACTGTGCCTGGCCAGTACCTGCTTCTTGACCTTGGAATATATATGGTATATATGGAAGGCCACTTCGCCTTGGGATATCCAGTGTGTGGCATCTGTGCCGTTTCTCTCCTCTGCACATGGCAGACATTGTGAATGACACACAGGGCTCTTTCTGGTGTGGCCTCAGAATGCCTCTCAGCCCAATATTCCAGAAAATTACCAACATCCATCAGTGTAGACACAAGGGATAAATTCCCGTGGTCATCCTAGGGCCCAGGCTATCATGTGAGCCTGGATTTACGAGATGTTGGCAGATACCTTAGGGCAGAGAATGAAGAGGACCTGTTCTCTCCTAAAACTCAAAGCATTAACTGCTTCTCACACACTAGTTGACCTGGAAAACAGTTTTAGAAAGAGCAGTTGGTGAAACTGTTTATTGAAGTCACGCATTCCCAATTAGTTAGGCCATTGTCATTCCAAAGATAATACAAGTCAATGAGGTATTGCATTTCTGAGAAAGGAAAATTCACTCAGGCAGGAAGCAGACATCTGTGGTCATTTGGGATGCTGGTTGCTTAGGGCTCCCTCTGGGGACACCTCTGTCTTCTGGCACCTTTGCCAGATTGTGCATGAGCTGGTGGAGCTCCTGGCAGATAGAACATCTCTTCCAGGGCTGAATTCCATAAGCAATAGGGGTAAATGGCTGGGCTAGAGAATGAGAGACAGGGAGAGGCCAGGACACAGCTGATTCCCTGCCCCTCCTGGCAGAGCAGATATCCTGTGTACCACCACAGCTATGGGTGATGACAATGGCCCTTGTCCATGAGCCGCTCCCCTCAGCCTGCCAGGCCACTCCCCAGCTCTGACATTGCATTCCCCGCTGTGGGTGCAAAGAACCTGGACTGACATCCTTTTTTGAGGCACAGGCCAGCTTCGTACAAGGGTCTTTTCTGGTCACACATGCTTCTGCTCAGCCATCAGGTGAAATCAATTCTCTTTAGATTTAAGATTTCCATGATGGTGTTGTGGACACCGTCAGCTGCCTGCCCACCTTCCATCTGCTTCCTCCTTCCTAACAGAACCCTGTCTCAGGGAAGACTCCGATAAGCCTCGCGATCCGTGGACCCAGGCTGCTGGCCAGAGTTCAGCTCGTCAATCCAGGCCAAGCCAGTCAGGGTGCCCCCATCCAGGCAGCTGCCCTCTAAGGGGAATATTCAGGGCGAGAGAGTTTTGACCAGGGTTTCCCCACCATGCCTCACCCTTGCTTCGCTTTTCCTCTCCATGGATGAGCAAGAAGCGGCCACCAGTTAGCCTGTTTCTGGCTTCCATGTTGTGGGTGGCTCCCTGTCCTAGGTGAGAACCTAGGCTCGAGGTCTCAGAGGTGCCATTAGAACCTTATCAACCTGGAGGAGTTAAAGGGACACTTGTGAAGTCCATCAGAGGTTAGGAAGGAAAGCATATGAGAAATGCTCTTTCTCCCAGTCCCTTCCTCCCCCAGTGACCTCAATCATACCTGCTTGCTCTCCAGTGAAGGGACAAACAGAGGGACATCAGGGTGCCGAAAAGTCCCCTCTTCCTGAGGCAAATATGCTGACTGCAAAAGGAAAAACATTGCCTGGCCACCATGCCTGCCTTGCTGGCCTGTTCTATGTCTGTGACCAGGAATTTCAAGGAGGGGATTCTGTGTGTGGGAGGACCCTGTCGTCGCGTACTGGGAGATGCCAGCTCACAGGAGTCATGTTCCCAGGTGTGGTCAGCCCTCTTCCTCTGCACCCTGCAATTCTGCAGCATTCCAAGGACTGGGCTCTAGTTCTCTTCACACCTGCAGCCATCTCCAGGAGAGCTATAAGTGACATCACGATGGCAGAGATAATGGTAACTACTACTTATTAAGAGCTACATATTAATGTTAACCATGTGCTCTGCATGGACCATCTACTCCTTCTGTGATACTGCAGAAAATGTGGTATTGTGCCCAATTTACAGACAAGGAAAACTGAGGCCTATAGATACCCAGACACTCACCCAGGTACACAGAGCAGGAAGGAGAGCTCAACAGCTTCTGGGCCTTTTGGCTAAGATCAAGTCGAGTATCTGTTATCAGTTTAACATCTGATACTTGAAGTGGTGTTGTCATCTCACACCGAGGAAATCAAAGATGCGGACACACAAGAAGTGAGTTTAAGAGTGGAGGTTTAATAGGTGAGAGAAAGAGAAAAGAGAAAAGTGTTCTCTCCTGCAGTGAGAGAGGCTCCCGAGTGGGTCTTCCGGTTTCGTGGTGAAATGCACAGGGTTTTACAGACCAGCTTCAGGAGACGGTGTCTGATTTACACAGGGCCCAAAGATTGGTTGGAGCAGGTGTGCCATTTACATAGCACAAAGCTGGCTGCCCCATCCTAATATTTTATTATGCAGATGGGTTCTCTACCTGGTTGGTGCCATGTGGCCTGTTCCTTTACTACACACATGGTTGACAAAGAAGGGAACATGAAGCCTCCATGTTGAATATGCCTGATCCCCAGGTAGCCTTTTCCTATTGGCACAGCTGCCGGTATTCAAGCGTGCAAGCTTCCAGCTTGCTTTTCTATGTCTGCAGCTTGATGTTTCGGGCTGCTCTTTGTTAGAAAAGAAATGATTTGGGGACGGCTTTTTATTAAAAGGGAAACCTTACCAAGGACTCTCTTACCCTCACTAACTGCCTAAATAATTTCTTTTTTAGCTCCTATATCAATACATCCTCTACTAGAGGACATATATCAAATGAGTTTTTGGAGGAGGGAGATGGGATAGGAGCGTGCTGAGTCTACTTCACACATTGACGTATGTTGCAGTACCTCCAGGATTGAAGCATGCCCTCAGGGGGCCAGTTAAACAAAAAGTAGAGCTTAGATTCCATCAGAGGCTGGTGGATCTGAAAGGGGCACCTCTTTCACTGGGCAGCACTGCCTTACATACACCAGTGCCCATCCTGCCTGCCAGTCCCCCTCCAAGTCCTGCTCTTCCCTGGGGGCCAGCCTGGGCAGTGGGAAAGTGAAGCTGGCATTGATCAGTCTGTTGGCTCCTGGTCTGCTCTCAGATCAAGGGGGTGAGGACAGTGTTTAGGCAACACACGAAACCCTCATTCCCCCTTGGGAACCAAAGGTCTCAACATCATTTTAGAGCTGATGACACAGAAGCCCAGGGATGGAAATGGCTAGTTTTGAGCCTCTCAGGGTAGCAGTGGGACCTTCTGCTCTTAACCTGGGGCCAGTGCTGGCTCTCAGAACAGTCGTCAGATCAGGGCCTGCTTTTCAGGGGATGCGGCCTTTGTCCACCACCCTGCAGGTCCTGGAGGATGAATGTGGCTCTAAGTTAACTGAATGTTGACAACAAAAGGTCTGCAAAATGGGCAGGGCAACGCCTTGGGGACCCTAAGGAGATGGTCCCCGCAGATGCTGTTGGGGCCTAATGTTTTCTGAATCCTTTTTAGGGTCACGTGCAGTATAGAGCTGGCTCATCTACGCCTCTGCCACAGCAACCCTGGGAGGCGAATCTTGGCATGGAAAAAGTGAGGCTCAGGAAGATTGCGTGACTTACCCAAGGTCACGTGGCCTGTAGGCAACTGAACCAGTCCTTGAATTCAGAGCTGCCTGAATCAAGCTCCCACATTTTCAACATGTGACCACACTCCTCCAAGCTGAGGGCGTTTCTGCTTGCAAACTGGTGTTTTTCTGGAAGAACAAAGAAGGCCATCCCAGAAAAATCTGCCTAATAATGAAAAAACCACCCTTTCCATATAGGTAAGCCCAGGGACCAGGTGTCTGGACCTGTGAGGTGAGTGTGACTCCGGGGAGGAGAGGAGCATAGCCAGGCTGCCTCACCGGCCTGCCCTAGGCAGCGGCCCCCGAGTGGATCCACACAAACTGCAAGGACTTTTGGAATGGACTGAATTGTGTCCCCCCCAGAATTCACAGGTTGAAGCCCTGCCCACCAGTGTGACTGCATTAGGAAATGGCCTGTAAGGAGGTAATGAAGGTTAAACGAGGCCAGGCCGGGAGCAGTGACTCATGCCTGTAATTCCAGCACTTTGGGAGGCTGAGGCGGGTGAATTACTTGAGGTCAGGAGATCAAGACCATCCTAGCCAACATGGTGAAACCCCATCTCTACTAAAAGTACAAAAATTAGCTGGGCATGGTGGTATGGGTGCCTGTAGTCCCAGCTACTTGGGAGGCTGAGGCAGGAGAATCACTTGAACCCAGGAGGCGGAGGTTGCAGTGAACTGAGATCGTGCCACTACACTCCAGCCTTGGCGACAGAGTGAAACTCCATCTCTCTCTCTCTCTCTCACACACACACACACACACACACACACACACAAATGTTTAAAAGAGGTCCTAAGGACGAGGCCTTAATTCACTGGATTGGTGTTCTTAGAAGTAGGGGAAGAGACAGCAGAGCTCACTCTCTGCAGGTGCACAGAGAAAAGGCCGCATGAGGACACAGCAAGAAGGTGGCCATGTACACACTAGAAATGTAACAGGAAAGGGGTCCCGATCCGGACCCAAAGAGAGGGTTCCTGGATCTTGCACAAGAAAGAATTCAGGGCGAGTCCATAGAGTAAAGTGAAAGCAAGTTTATTAGGAAAGTAAAGGAATAAAGAACGGCTACTCCATAGGCAGAGCAGACCCGAGGGCTGCTGGTTGCCCATTTTTATGGTTATTTCTTCAAGATGTGCTAAATAAGGGGTGGATTATTCGTGCCTCCCCTTTTTAGACCACGTAGGGTAACTTCCTGATGTTGCCATGGCATTTGTAAACTGTCAGGGTGCCTGTGGGAGTGTAGCAGTGAGGACGACCAGAGGTCACTCTCGTGGCCATCTTGGTCTTGGTGGGATTTAGCCGGCTTCGTCACTGCAACCTGTTTTATCAGCAAGGTATTTATGACCTGTATCTTGTGCCGACCTCCTGTCACATCCTGTGACTTAGAATGCCTTCACTGTCTGGGAATGCAGCCCAGTAGGTCTCTGCCTCATTTTACCTAGCTCCTACTCAAGACGGAGTTGCTCTGGTTCACACGCCTATGACAAAACGGCAAGGACTTTTGGAATGGACTGAATTGTGTCCCCCCTCCCCCACAAATTCATAGGTTGAAGCCCAACCCCCCAGTGTGACAGTATTTGGAAATAGGGCCTATAAAAAGGTAATTAAGGTTAAGTGAGGCCCTAAAAATGAGGCCTTAATCCACTGAACTGGTGTCCTTAGAAGAAGAGAAAGAGGCTGGGGGCAATGGCTCATGCCTGTAATCCCAGCACTTTGGAAGGCTGAGGCAGGCAGATCATGAGGTCAGGAGATGGAGACTATCCTGGCTAACACAGTGAAACCCTGTCTCTACTAAAAATACAAAAATTAGCTGGGCATGGTGGTGCGTGCCTGTAGTCCCAGCTACTCGGGAGGCTGAAGCAGGAGAATTGCTTGACTCTGGAAGGCAGAGGTTGCAGTGAGCCGAGATCCTGTCACTGCCCTCCAGCCTGGTGACAGAGTAAGACTCCGTCTCAAAAAAAAAAAAAAAAAAAAAGGGAAAGAGACACCGGAGCACGCTCTCTCTCTCTCTCTGTCTCTCTCTCTGCAGGTGCACAGAGAAAAGGCTGAGTGAGGACACAGCAAGAAGGCGGCCCTGCGCACACCAGGAAGAGAGGCCTCACCTGAAACCAACCCTGAGGGCACCTGTAGGGCCTGCAGACCTGTAAAAAGACCAATGTCTGTTTAAGCCACCCAGCTTGTGGCATTTTGTTATGCAGTCTGAGCATATTAATATGGTTTTTTTTTTTCAGAGATCCTCAAAGCTCGCATTCCAACATAACACAGGAGTGAAAGCACAAGCTTTGAAGTCAGAAAGGACTAAGTTCTCAACCTGGCTTCCCATTCAGCAGGACCTTGGCTTTCATCTCTAGGATCCTGTTTCATAAGATTGATATGAAAATTAACTGAAGCAATGCATAGGAAATGCTTGTCGTGGTATGTGGAACATGTAAGGATATTACTATTATCCTTATTGTAATTGCCTTTGCAAAAAATTATATCATTGAGAAAATTATGGCTCTGGAGGAGATCTGATCTGGCCAATCCCCCTTTCGCCTTTAGTCTTCAACTGCCCTTAATTATTCCTGGGCTTAGGCTAAGCTAACTTTGGGAGATGTTTAGTTTATAGTTTAAATGATAATAGCCTTTCCCCCAAATTGAACCTCCTTTGTAAAGCTAATGAGAGACCACCAGGCTAGGAGGATAGAGGAACCTGAATTTGGCTAAGGTGGAGACATAAACAATTGCCAGCCATTACTCCGGAGGTCACAAGATATGCAACTTCCACAGTTATTCCTGCAGATAACATCACTACTGTAGAACGTTAAGATTGGCCTTTTGAGATGTCTTTTCAGGTTTTCTGCATGTCTCACACTGATAATGGCTCCACCTGGATCCCCCAAGTGTTCCTGTGGCCCTACCCAGAAGCGACTCAGCTCAGGAGGACCATTTCCCACACCCCTCTGATTGCACCCCCAACCAATTGGCAGCAAGCACCCATTGCCTAGCCACCCCCACCCCTTTCCGCAAACTACCTTCGAAAAACCCTAGCCCCTGAATTCTTGGGAAGACTGATTTGGGTAATAGTAAGAGTCCAGTCTCCCGTTCAGCTGGCTCTGTGTGAATTAAACTCTTTCTCCATTGCAATTCCCCTGCCTTAATAAATCGGCTCTACCTGGGCAGCAGGCAAGAAAAGCCCATTGGGTGGTTACATTATGAGGTTATCTTTACTCTTATGGAGCTGGCAGATGGTACTTGGGTTCAACTGCTCTGAGTTTTTCTAGCTGTGGTCCATTGTTCCAAAGCACACATCCTGACTCTAGGGTGTCACTGGGGTCTGTTACAGGTAGTTAGGCCTGAGCAGGGCAGGAGAGGGCTCTCCCCTACCCACCAGGAATGTCAGGTGATGGTGTCAGGTGATGGTGTGACAATGGTCACACTGCCCTTCTAAAAGTGATTATTCAGCAGCCAGCGCCAGGGCGAGACAATCTCCTGAAGATCCAGGGCTGTTAACATTAAAGAGTTAATTTAATGCAGATGCCAGGGAGAAGCAAAAAGGACTTCCAATAAAGTCTCAGTTATTGGGCTAGTGAGCTCAGGCATGCGCGTTAAGCGACAAAATGGTGGAGTATGACTTTCTGGGGGCCTCCACCGGAAAAGGGAGCATGCCGCATACAACGTCGTAAACCCACTGCTCATGCTCACTTCCCAGGCGTCAGGACCCCTCTGTAGATGTGGGCAGCCCACCCTAAGGGAAGAATTATGGGAAAGGGCTGCAAGATACCAGAGGTGGGCCAGGCTATAAAGTCCTAGGATCAAGTTTAAATGCCACATTCGTTCTTCAAGTTGCCCACTTGAGACTCTTCCAAGTAAGTGTACTTTCCTTTCTTTCCTGCTCTCTCCTGCTCTGAAACTTGCCTCGGTCTCTTTTTCTGCCTTGTGCCCCTAAGTCCAATTTCTTTCTTCTGAGGAGGCAAGAATTGAGGTTGGTGCAGACCCGTATGGATTCACTGCTAGTAACTTGGACACCTTCCACCAGTAACAGGGTGAGTCCATTGGGTTTCGTGGCCTATTTTTAGCATACTACAAGTTTGTGAAGTGTCACCCATCAGGCTGCAATGATGCTACACAGGCTAACCAATACATCATGTTCCTTTGCTTTTGACTAGAATTAAACAGAGACACCATGGAAACACTGCTTATCTCTAATGACCAGAAGCTGAGATCATTGGGTATTCATGTCCTTGATTTATGAGAAAATTGGAGCATAAAATACCTATTATCTCATCATAGATCCTACAGGACCCATGGGGAGAAAAGGAAGAAAGGCAGTCCTATATAAACCAAAAATACAATTCAAAGTTCCCCCCTCCCCACTTCAAGTTGTCCCACCCAGATCGAACCAATGTCAATCTTACATGTATTGATTGATGTATTATGTCTCCCTAAAACGTATAAAAGCAAGCTGTACCCCGACCCCCTTGGGCTCATGTTGTCAGGCCCTCCTGAGGCTGTGTCACGGGCATGTCCTTAACCTTTGGCAAAATAAACTTTCTCAATTGAGTGAGACCCATCTCTGGTATTTTGGGTTCACACCAAGTAGGTGAAAAGGTCAGTAGTGGCTGAAATTGCTGCAGTAGTTTTGGGTATTTTTTATCAGGCCTCTGAGCCTGAGCCAAGCCATCGCATCCTCTCTGACTTGCACATATATGCCCAGATGGCCTGAAGTAACTGAAGAATCACAGAAGAAGTGAAAATGCCCTGCTCCGCCTTAACTGACGACATTCCACCACAAAAGAAGTGTAAATGGCCGGTCCTTGCCTTAACTGATGACATTCCACCACAAAAGAAGTGAAAATGGCCGGTCCTTGCCTTAACTGATGACATTACCTTGTGAAAGTCCTTTTCCTATCCTGGCTCAAAAAGCTCCCCCACTGAGCACCTTGTGACCCCCACTCCTGCGTGCCAGAGAACAAACCCCCTTTGACCGTAATTTTCCTTTACCTACCCAAATCTTATAAAACGGCCCCACCCCTATCTCCCTTCACTGACTCTCTTTTCGGACTCAGCCCACCTGCACCCAGGTGAAATAAACAGCCATGTTGCTCACACAAAGCCTGTTTGGTGGTCCCTTCACATGGACGCGCATGAAATTTGGTGCGTGACTCGGATCAGGGGACCTCCCTTAGGAGATCAATCCCCTGTCCTCCTGCTCTTTGCTCCATGAGAAAGATCCACCTACGACCTCAGGTCCTCAGACCAACCAGCCCAAGAAACATCTCACCAATTTCAAATCCGGTAAGCAGCCTCTTTTTACTCTCTTCTCCAACCTCCCTCACTATCCCTCCACCTCTTTCTCCTTTCAATCTTGGTGCCACACTTCAATCTCTCCCTTCTTTTAATTTCAATTCCTTTCATTTTCTGGTAGAGACAAAGGAGACACGTTTTATCTGTGGATCCAAAACTCTGGTGCCAGTCACGGACTGGGAAGGCAGGCTTCCCTTGGTGTTTAATCATTGCAGGGACGCCTCTCTAATTATTCACCCATGTTTCAGAGGTGTCAGACCACGCAAGGACACCTGCCTTGGTCCTTCACCCTTAGTGGCAAGTCCCACTTTTCTGGGGGAGGGGCAAGTACCCCAACCCCTTCTCTCCGTGTCTCTACCCCTTCTCTGCCTTTCTAGGGGGCAAGAAACCCTCAACCCCTTCTCCTTCACTCTTAGTGGCAAGTCCCATTTTTCTAGGGGAAGGGCAAGTACCCCAACCCCTTCTCTCCGTGTCTCTACCCCTTCTCCGCCTTTCTGGGAGGCAAGAAACCCCCAACCCCTTCTCCTTCACCCTTAGCAGCAAGTCCCACTTTTCTAGGGGAAGGGCAAGTACCCCAACCTCGTGTCTCTGTGCCCCGATCCCTTATTTCCATGCCCCAGCCTCTTATATCTCTGTGCCCTGATCCCTTATTTCCACGCCCCCGACCTCGTATCTCTGCGCCCTGACCCCTTTCCTGCTTTTCTGGAGGGTAAGAACCCCCGAACCGCTTCCCTCTGTGTCTCTACTCTTCCTTTTCTTTAAACTTGCCTCTTTCACTATAGGCAACCTTCCACCCTCCATTCCTCCTTCTTCTCCCTTAGCCTGTGTTCTTTAAGAACATAAAACCTCTTCAACTCTCACCTGACCTAAAACCTAAATGCCTTATTTTCTTCTACAATGCCACCTGACCCCAATACAAACTCGACAGTGGTTCTAAATGGCCAGAAAATGGCACTTTCGATTTCTCCATCCTGCAAGACCTAAATAATTTTTGTTGAAAAATAAGAAAATGGTCTGAGGGGCCTGACATCCAGGCACTGTTTTACACATCAGTCCCTCCCTAGTCTCTGTTCGCAATGCAACTAGTCCCAAATCTTCCTTCTTTCCCTCCCGCCTGTCCCCTCAGTCCCAACCACAAGCGTCGCTGAGTCTTTCTAATCTTCCTTTTCTACAGACCCATCTGACCTCTCCCCTCCTTGCCAGGCCGAGCTAGGTCCCAATTCTTCCTCAGCCTCTGCTCCTCCACCCTATAATCCTTTTATCACCTCCCCTCCTCACACCTGGTCCAGTTTACAGTTTCATTCCGTGACTAGCCCTCCCCGACCTGCCCAGCAATTTCCTCTTAAAAAGGTGGCTGGAGCTAAAGGCATAGTCAAAGTTAATTCTCCTTTTTCTTTATCTGACCTCTCCCAAATCAGTTAGCGTTTAGACTCTTTTTCATCAAATATAAAAAATCCAGCCCAGTTCATGGCTCGTTTGGCAGCAAACCTGAGACACTTTATAGCCCTAGACCCTAAAAGGTCAAAAGGCCATCTTATTCTCAATATACATTTTATTACCCCATCTGCTCCTGACATTAAATAAAACTCCAAAAATTAAATTCCGGCCCTCAAACCCCACAACAGGACTTAATTAACCTCATCTTCAAGGTGTACAATAATAGAGTAGAGGCAGCCAAGCAGCAACATATTTCTAAGTTGCAATTCTTTGCTTCCACTGTGAGACAAACCCCAGCCACATCTCCAGCACACAAGAACTCCAAACACCTGAACCGCAGCTGCCAGGGGTTCCTCCAGAACCTCCTCCCCCAGGAGGTTGCTACAAGTGCTGGAAATCTGGCCACTAGGCCAAGGAATGCACACAGCCCAGGATTCCTCCTAAGCCGTGTCCCATCTGTGCAGGACCCCACTGAAAATTGGACTGTTCAACTCACCTGGCAGCCACTTCTAGAGCCCCTGGAACTCTGGCCCAAGGCTCTCTGAATGACTCCTTCCCAGATCTTCTCGGCTTAGCAGCTGAAGACTGACACTGCCCGATCGCCTCGGAAGCCTGCAGGACCATCACAGACGCTCTAGGTAACTCTCACAGTGGAGGGTAAGTCCGTCCCCTTCTTAATACGGAGGCTACTCACTCCACGTTACCTTCTTTTCAAGGGCCTGTTTCCCTTGCCTCCATAACTGTTGTGCATATTGACAGCCAGGCTTCTAAACCTCTTAAAACTCCCCAACTCTGGTGCCAATTTAGACAATACTCTTTTAAGCACTCCTTTTTAGTTATCCCCACCTGCCCAGTTACCTTATTAGGCCGAGACACTTTAACTAAATTATCTGCTTCCCTGACTGTTCCTAGGCTACAGCCACACCTCACTGCCGCCTTTTCCCCCAGTTCAAAGCCTCCTTCATATCCTCCCCTTGTATCTCCCCACCTTAACCCACAAGTATAAGACACCTCTACTCCCTCCTTAGCGACCGATCATGCACCCCTTACCATCCCATTAAAACCTAATCACTCTCACCCCACTCAATGCTAATATCCCATCCCACAGCATGCTTTGAAAAGATTAAAGCCTGTTATCACTCGCCTGCTACAGCATGGCCTTTTAAAGCCTATGAACTCTTCTTACCATTCCTCCATTTTACCTGTCCTAAAACCAGACAAGGCTTACAGGTTAGTTCAGAATCTGCGCCTTATCAACCAAATTGTTTTGCCTATCCATCCCATGGTGTCAAACCCATATACTCTCCTATCCTCAATACCTCCCTCTACAACCCATTATTCTGTTCTAGATCTCAAACATGCTTTCTTTACTATTCCTTTGCGCCCTTCATCCCAGCCTCTCTTTGCTTTCACTTAGACTGACCCTGACATGCATTAGGCTCAGCAAATTACCTGGGCTGTACTGCCGCAAGGCTTCAAAGACAGACCCCATTACTTCAGTCAAGCCCAAATTTCATCCTCATCTGTTACCTATCTCGGCATAATTCTCATAAAAACACATGTGCTCTCCCTGCTGATCGTGTCCAATTAATCTCCCAAACCTCAATCCCTTACAAAATAACAACTCCTTTCCTTCCTAGGCATAGTTAGTGCGGTCAGAATTCTTACACAAGAGCCAGGACCGCACCCTGTAGCCTTTCTGTCCAAACAACTTGACCTTACTGTTTTAGCCTAGCCATCATGTCTCCGTGCAGCGGCTGCTGCCGCCCTAATACTTTTAGAGGCCCTCAAAATCACAAACTATGCTCAACCCACTCTCTACATTTCTCATAACTTCCAAAATCTATTTTCTTCCTCATACCTGACGCACATACTTTCTGCTCCCCGGCTCCTTCAGCTGTACTCACTCTTTGTTAAGTCCCACAATTACCATTGTTCCTGGCCCAGACTTCAATCTGGCCTCCCACATTATTCCTGATACCACACCTGACCTCCATGACTGTATCTCTCTGATCCACCTGACATTCACCCCGTTTCCCCATATTTCCTTCTTTCCTGTTCCTCACCCTGATCACGCTTGATTTATTGATGGCAGTTCCACCAGGCCTAATCGCCACACACCAGCAAAGGCAGGCTATGCTAGAGTACAAGCCACTAGCCCGCCTCTTAGAACCTCTCATTTCCTTTCCATCGTAGAAATCTATCCTCAAGGAAATAACTTCTCAGTGTTCCATCTGCTATTCTACTACTCCTCAGGGATTATTCAGGCCCCCTCCCTTCCCTACACATCAAGCTCGAGGATTTGCCCCCACCCAGGACTGGCAAATTGGCTTTACTCAACATGCCCCAAGTCAGATAACTAAAATATCTCTTAGTCTAGGTAGACGCTTTCACTGGATAGGTAAAGGCCTTTCCTACAGGGTCTGGGATGGCCACCGCAGTCATTTCTTCCCTTCTGTCAGACATAATTCCTCAGTTTAGCCTTCCCACCTCTACACAGTCTGATAACAGACCAGCCTTTATTAGTCAAATCAGCCAAGCAGTTTTTCAGGCTCTTAGTATTCAGTGAAACCTTTATATCCCTTACAGTCCTCAGTCTTCAGGAAAAGTAGAACAGACTAATAGTCTTTTAAAAACACACCTCACCAAGCTCAGCCACCAACTTAAAAAGGACTGGACAATACTTTTACCACTTTCCCTTCTCAGAAGTCAGACCTGTCCTCAGAATGCTACAGGGTACAGCGCATTTGAGCTCCTGTATAGATGCTCCTTTTTATTAGGCCCCAGTCTCATTCCAGACACCAGACCAACTTAGACTGTGCCCCAAAAAAACTTGTCATCCCTACTATCTTCCGTCTAGTCATACTCCTATTCACCATTCTGAACTACTCATACATGCCCTGCTCTTGTTTACACGGCCGGTTTACACTGTTTCTCCAAGCCATCACAGCTGATATCTCCTGGTGCTATCCCCAAACTGCCACTCTTAACTCTTGAAGTAAATCAATAATCTTTGCTGGCAGGACTATGCTGAATCTTCTTAGGCACTCTCTAATCAGATGTCCTAGGTCCTCCCAATTCTTAGTCCTTTAATACCTGTTTTTCTCCTTCTCTTATTCCATTTAGTTTTTCAATTCATAGAAAACCATATCCAGGCCATCACCAATCATTCTACACGACAAATGTTTCTTCTAACAACCCCACAATATCACCCCTTACCACAAAATCTTCCTTCAGCTTAATCTCTCCCACTCTAGGTTCCCACGCTGCCCCTAATCCCGCTCGAAGCAGCCCTGAGAAACGTTGCCCATTATCTCTCCATGCCACCCCCCAAAAATTTTCGTTGCCCCCACACTTCAACACTATTTTTATTTTTCTTATTAATATAAGAAGGCAGGAATGTCAGGCCTCTGAGCCCAAGCCAAGCCATCACATCCCCTGTGACTTGCACGTATACACCCAGATGGCCTGAAGTAACTGAAGAACCACAAAAGAAGTGAAAATGCCCTGCCCCACCTTAACTGATGACATTCCACCACAAAAGAAGTGAAAATGGCCGGTCCTTGCCTTAAGTGATGACATTACCTTGTGAAAGTCCTTTTCCTGGCTCATCCTGGCTCAAAAAGCTCCCCCAGTGAGCACCTTGAGACCCCCACTCCTGCCCGCCAGAGAACAAACCCCCTTTGACTGTAATTTTCCTTTACCTACCCAACTCTTATAAAACGGCTGCACCCCTATCTCCCTTCGTTGACTCTCTTTTCGGACTCAGCCCGCCTGCACCCAGGTGAAATAAACAGCCATGTTGCTCACACAAAGCCTGTTTGGTGGTCTCTTCACATGGACGCGCGTGAAATTTTTCTCCTAGAAATTTTATAGCAATAATACACTATAGTGTTCAAGACCTGCTTGCTTTTTAATTATCTATGGCTGAAGCATGCACTATTCTTCTGCTACTCCGTGCTGATTTGCCTAAAACTAAGGCATGTAGAGCAGCTGTGAAGGCCGTGAAGGCATTCCTCACCTGCCATCACGGGTCTGGGCATCGGCTCCACACCTGGTCAGTATGTGGTCCTCGCACTGCCGGGTGGCAGCGCAGAGTCAGAGGTGTCTTTAGTGATAGGTGTTGCCTTTTATGTGCAGGGCATAATGGAGTCCTCCTGGGATGTCTCTTGATTAACCAGATTTGTCACATTCAATAGCCCCAGGAAAGGCTCTGTCCTGGATGCCTGCAGGGCTCCGTGTCACGGGGAGGAGAGGAGCCGTTTCTACCCTGTTTCTCTGATGCTTCAGCATCCAGGGTCTCACTGACCCTGGGGCCAATTCCTGGAGACAGTAAACAACTCACCCAGGGTGTGCCTTTCTTATTCAAAGGAACTCATCCAGCACCCGCACCCCAACCACCTCTTCCATTGGCCCTCACACTCCAGGCCACCATCCACCTGCCCTTATCTCAGGGCCAGATGCCAGACAGCTAGGGACAGCCCCTATGCCCACAGCATGCTGAAATTATTCACTGTCCATCCCTCAGCCCGCTGCCGCTGCCTGGCCCACGCCTTCCTACAGAAGGCGCAGTGAAGGTTCTTGTTCACACCTCACCCACCCACTCCCATGCATTTCGACCAACCTAGTGCATCCCTGTGTGGCCCTGCCCAGTGTGCCCTGTCTCCTGTGTAAACCAAAAATAAAAAGCCCCACAACCGACTAAATGGATTTTTATAGAGACAGGGTCTCACTATTTTGCCCAGGCTGGTTTCAAACTCCCGGGCTCAAGCAATCCTGCCTCAGCCTCCTAAAGTGCTGGGATTACAGGTGTGAGCCACTGTACCCGACCTCTTTGATATATTTTGAAATGGCCCTGCAAAGCTACCTCTTGCAGGGAAAATCTATACTCTCTAGAGAATCCCCTTCCCTTTCTAGGTCTCTTCCTGATCCAGGAGAGGTTAAGAATCTGGTAGCTTTTTAGGTTTGATAAGAGACATTTACCATCTATTCTCTCTGAAGCCTGCTACCTGGAAGCTTCAACTACATAATAAGAACCTTGGTCTCTACAACCCCTCTTTTAACCCAGAGACTCCCTTCTATTGATTCCAATTCTTTAGATAATAACTTAACTCTTTCTGAAACCGCCTTTGCAAAATTATAACTGAGGAAATTATGACAGTGAAAGAAATCAGACCTAACCGACTCCATCTTGCTTCTAACCTTTAAGCTGTTTTTGTTTATTGCTGGACATAGACCAACTTTGGGAAGACATAGACTAACTTTGGGAAGGAATTCAGTTCATGGTTTGACTCTGAAACAAAATTGATAACAGCCCTTTCCTGAAAAGACCCCCTTCTTGTCTGGGGACCAGTCTGCCTTTGCAGGACTAACAAATTAGGTACAAGATAGAAATTATAGTTTAGGGGTCATGCAGCTTCTGGCTCCAAGAGTCTGAATCTCCCCAAATCGCTCCTGGGGATATCACTATTGTAAAACCTAAGATCAGTGCGTGAGATATTTTGCAGACCCTGCACTCGATGGATGAGCTGACACCACCCAGACCAGTAATGTGGCTCAACCAGTTCTGCCATCCCACCCAGGAACAGAAAATGGCAAGAAAAACTCACTTCAACTCCCTATGATTCCATCTCCCACCTGACCAATCAGCACTCCCCACTTCCCAAGCCTTTGCCTGCCAAATTATCTTTAAAAACTCTGATCCCCAAATGCTCAGAGACTGATTTGAGTAATAATAAAACTCTAGTCTCCTGCACAGCTGGCTCTGCATGAATTACTCTTTCTCTATTGCAATTCCCCTGTCTTAATAAATTGGCTCTGTCTAGGCAGCAGGCAAGACGAACCTATTGGGAAGTTACATTTCAACCAACTGTCAATCAGAAAATCTTGGAATCCACCTGGAAGTCCTCCTCACCCCGCACTGTGACTGCCTCAAGTTGTCCCACCTTCCTGGACCAAACTACCACTCTACACCTTACACGTATTGATTGATGGCTGGGTTTAACTTCTGTCCCCCTAAAATGCATAAAACCAAGCTGTAACCCAACCACCTTGGGCACATGTTCTCAGGACCTCTTGAGACTGTGCCTTGGGCCTTAGTCACTCATATTTGGCTCAGAATAACTCTCTTTATTATTATTTTTTTTCTCGAGACAGAGTCTCACTGTGTCACCCAGGCCGGAGTGCAGTGGCGCTATCTCGGCTCACTGCAAGCTCCGCCTCCCGGGTTCATGCCATTCTCCTGCCTCAGCCTCCTGTGTAGCTGGGATTACAGGTGCCTGCCACCATGCCTGGCTAATGTTTTGTATTTTTAGTAGAGACGGGGTTTCACCATATTAGCCAGGATGGTCTTGATTTCCTGACCTCGTGATCTGCCCGCCTCGGCCTCCCAAAGTGCTGGGATTACAGACGTGAGCCACCGCGCCCGGCCGGCTCAGAATAACTCTCCTTAAATATTTACAGAGTTTGACTCTTTTTATCGACACCTGCTTCCAGGGAATTGTGAGTAAACACTTCTTCATCCATGACAGTCATTTTTATATCTGCATGTCTTACCATACCTGATTTTTCAAAAATCCTGAGGACCCTTAAAACAAACCTCCAGGAGCTCCAAAGTTCAGTTCAGACATGCCAGTCCTTGGCCAGGCTATGCAGGGTCCACGCAGCCTCTGCTTGCAGATTCCAGATGGCAGCAACAGTTCTGCAAGGAGCAGCAACTCCTGGGAGAGTGTGCTGTTCACAGTCCAGGTGAAAGGTGCTCAGGAGCTGTGCTAAGACCCGTTCCTTCATGTTCCCAGGCTTGTAGACAAGCACACATTTGAGAGTGCTCAACAGAAGCCATAAGTGGGGATGGAGGCAAGTTTTAAGACTTGCCTCCCTGCCTCCATCTAGACTCAGATGAGGGCTTGTAAAGAAAAAACAATGTACTTTGTATTCCTTCATTTTCTTTCATATGTTTATTCATCCGTTCTTTCAAATGTACGTTGAGTATCTATCATGTACCAGGCACTTCATCAGGAACTGGAGGTCCACAGATTAATAGGAGACCATCTCTGCTCTCACAGAGCCACAGGCTAGTTAGTGGAGGCGGCCATGACAAAAGCAAAGAAAAAGCAAACTCTCTGCGAATGGAGGCTCTAATAAAGGAATGTTCCAAGGAACAGGTGGAAGAAGGGATTTCGGGGAGTGAGAGGGAGTGACTAGGGAGGACGTCAAAGGATGTGAAGGTTTCAGCTGGGTCTTGAGGGATAAGTAGGAGTTTGTCAGGCACATCAGGAGGAGGTGTTCAAGGGTGTGTGGATGGAGCCAAGGGTATGGAGTGCCAGGAAGGGCACGAGGCTGGAGAAGTAGGATTTATGTGTTGTCTCAGTTTCTATTGCTATGTAACAAGTCATCTCAAAAGTTACTAGCATAAAATAACTATGATTTATTATATCTCAAATTTCTGTAAGCTGTCTGGGCTCGCGGGGGAGGTTCTTCTGCTCTGTGGGGTGTTAGCTAGAGCCATTGCTCCACAGGTGTTGACAGCATTCATCTGGGACCTCAGTTTGGAACTGGAACGCCTCAGGTGGCCTCACTCATGTGTCTGGTGCCTCAGCCTGGGTGGCTGGATTGGCTGGGGACCTGCTGGGGCCTTGTTCCATCAGCCTCTCAGGAGGTGGCTCAGGGCTCCAAGAGAACTAAAGCGGAGTTGCCGAGCCCCTTAAGCTCAAGGTCGGAGCTGGCCCAGCATCTCTTCTGCTGTACTGCTGTTCCTGGACAGAACAAGGTCCGGCTGCTTGTTCTTGCAGTCTAATAATGAGATGTAGACAGACTGGGAAAGAAAGGAGTTTATATTTGTGCAACCAGTTACAGGGACAAGGTTGGAGTAACTCACCAGACCAACTCAAAGTTACAAGTTTTTTTTCTAGTGCTTATGTTTAAGTTCCATGCTGTGTGTGGAATTGCACCTACAAATAGGAGTGTTTCATTCAATCTATATCTAAACAGGAGTGTTTCATTCAGTCTATATCTAATCTTTATTTTTATTTTTTATTTTTAGATGGCGTCTCAGTCCGTCACCCAGGCTGGAGTGTAGTGGCGTGATCTTGGCTCATGGCAACCTCTGCCTCCCGGGCTCAAGCCATTCTCCTACCTCAGCCTCCCGAGTAGCTGTGATTACAGGCACCTGCCACCACACCTGGCTAATTTTTGTATTTTTAGTAGAGATGGGGTTTCTCTGTGTTGGTCAGGCTGGTCTCGAACTCCTGACCTCAGGTGAACCACCCGCCTCGGCCTCCCAAAGTGCTGGGATTACAGGTGTGAACCCCTGCACCCGGCCTAGATCTAATCTTTAATTAGGGTCTAGGGTCCGGAAAGCTTTCTCAAGAGTCTTAGAAACTTTCTTAATCTTCAGTGGGTCCTGGTACGAGGTGCACATATAAAAATGCTATTATTATTTGATCAGACTTTAGGATCTGAGAAAATCCAGGTGGGTCTTCATTTTGATTTCATATTCCAGCCCTCATACTCAGGCACCAGTTTCTCCAGTTCTTTAATGTTTAACTTATGTATTCATTAAAATTATAGTAAAGGATTAGTGGAAACTGAGTGTTCTGGTTGCTAATGGAAACCTGGCCTGCCACGCCATGCTGGTCAAAGCAAGTCACAGGCCAGCTAAGATTCAAGGAGAGCTGAAGGAGGCGTGCTTGTGTTGTGTTGAGTGGCTGAGGTGGTGTGGCTCTGTCACTGCAGCCGACGAAGCTCATGCTGGTGCTTGTGGGCTGACCGAGGTGGGGGTGGGCATGGGAAGGGGGCATAGGCTGCAGAGCTTTGCAGAGGCAGAAGGAGCCCTGTGGCTGACAGCGTGGGGGCCAGGGAGGTGCACAGGACGGCCGTGCCAGGCCCGAGGTTTGGCAACTGCTCTGAAAGCCCCTGTTCTTCACCTCAGCCTTTGCCGGCCCTTGTTAGGTGGCCAAGTGGTGGTATTGCCTGACTTCTCTACTCGCTAGCATCATACCAAGGCCGCTGTGCACAAGGGAAGTGCAGTGGACTGTTACTCTGTCGCCCACGGCCAGTCCACCCTGACTTTCCACTGGCAGCCAGCCTGTCCCGCTCTCGCTCCGTGAGGTTTGAGGGGGCTGACTCCTCACTCTGCAGCAGGTTGGGGGTGCTTAGTTCTGGAGCAGCAGATCTCCTGGTATCCTCAGAGCTCCAGGAATTGGTTCCAGGCTGGGCAGGTGACCCAAGCAGGTCTCGTGAGATTGGGTTGCAGGACTTGGTACACGGAGGGAGGAACCCTCCTGTTCTCTTTCACTGGGGTTGCTTGCCTGGGAGGACAAAAACTTGGAACTGTCGGTGCCTATTTTGTCATTCTGAAGGCTGAGACCATCTGAATGGGAAGTCAACCAGGAGGAGCGCAGTGCTGAAAGGTGGAAAGAGAGAGATGGAAAGAGCGAGTCCTTCTGACATAGATGGGGCCCTGGACCAAGCTGGGTCTGATTATAGATTATCCTTGTGAAGCAGTGAACCCTCTTATTTTGCTTAAGTTACTTCAAGTTGGGTTTCTGTCACTTGCACCCAAGCAAGTGCTAACTGAAGTCCTGGCAAATGTATTTACTTCCTTTCTGTGCCGATTCACTGGAGAGAGGAATTGTGAATTCCGGGGAATGTGGGGCTCTGTACTGCATTGTTGGCTCCTTCCCCATTTTTCCATGTCTATAGTTGTCTTCTGTACACCCTTGGGGTGGGATTAGCCCGGTGGAATGTATTGGAATCATGGGAAAACCTTTCAAAGGTCCAGTTTCTTCACTGCAACTTTTCAGTTACCCTCTACAACCACTGTATCATCTTTTAAAGTTGGCAGTTGAAGACCACAGAATAAATGTCCCTCAACACTTGCTGGCTGGTCGTGAATGTGGACACAGGGCTCCCGAGAGCAGAAACTACCATAGGACATGATGGGAAGAACACAGCACCATAGGGTAAGAAGAATGCTCTACCTGGGACTCAAGGAAAAGCCAGTCGTTTATAAGACAGATTGTATTTTGGTGACTGCAAAGGTTCTAGAAAAGCTGTTCTAAGGAGACGCACAGGGCAGGAAGGCCTTTCTTTCCTTGCCCAATCTTGAGGCAGATCACACACGAAGGGCATCAAGCCATCAAGCCTCGGGTATATTTCTTCCCAGTTAAGCAGTAGAACGTTTCCTGTATCTTTCAAACACATTTTCTCTTAAGATCCCCTGAAGTCCTTCCGAAGCAGTGGGGTGTGTGCAGCCCTAAATAGGGCTTTTACTCGGCAAAGGAAACTAAGCCACTGATACTGAGTCTAAAATAGCCCCAGCCAGGATATCCTGAACTGATTTTCCTGACTGCCAGCTCTCACTTGCGATGGACTGTAACTTCACATCCCAACAGCCCTGTCTGCAGACAGGAACAGGCACTAACAAGGGGGGCTGATCTGGGGGAAAGAGAGCCTGCCAGTGCTGCCCGAGGCCAGGATCGGTGCCAGCCCATCCCATGGGACGGTCACACTTGTTGTGACTTCTCATGGGTGAGGCACATGGGAATGTCCTTAGCTGGTTTCATGATTCATCCTTGGTGTACATATATTTGCTTTAATCATTCATGTCGTATCATTACTTCCTTGAAGATGCGGCCAGTGTTTCTTGTTTTTAAATTAAAATATTTTTTAGAGCAGTTTGAGGTTCACAACAAAATGGAGTGGAAATCACAGAGAGTTCCCATACATCCCCTGCTGGGACTCACACACGGCCTCCCCCACCATCTACGTCCTGCACCAAGTGGCATATTTGTTACACCGATGGTCCTACATAGACACATCATTATCACCCAAAGTCCACAGTTTCTATCAGGGTTCACTCTCGGTGTTATACAAATGTGTGACCTGTGTACACCACCGCAGTGTCATGCAGAGTAGTTTCACTGCCCTAGAATTCCTCTGTGCCTGCCTGTTCACCCCTCTGTCTCTACAACCCCTGGCAACCACTGATCTTTTTATTGTCGCCATAATTTTGCCTTTTCCGGAGTGTTATACAGTTGGACTCATACAGTAGGTAACCTTTTCAGATGGGCTCCTTTCACTTAGTAACATACATTTAAGTTTCCTCCATGTCTTTTCATGGCTTGAAAGCTCATTTCCTTTTAGCACTGAATCATCTCATCATCTAGCTGTATCGCAGTTTATTTATCCATTCACCTGCAAAAGGACATCTTGGTTGCTCCTAAGTTTTGCCAATTATGAACAAAGCTGCTATAAACATCCGTGTGCAGGTTTTTGTGCAGACAGAAGTTTTCAATTCATTTGGCTAAATACCAAGGAGCACGACTGCTGGATCATATGGTAAGAATATGTTTCCTCTTGTAGGAAACTGACAAACTGTCTTCTGAAGTGGCAGTACCATTTTGCATTCCCACCAGCAGTGAATTGAGAGTTCCTATGGTCCACACCCTCACCAGCATTGGTGCTGTTGGTGTTTTGGATTTTAGCCATTCTAATAGGTGCGTAGTGACCAGTGTTTCTTCATAATTATGTTTTGGCCATTATTTCAAGTATTGACTTCGGATGTTGTGGTTCTATCATCTTGAATAAATGAAAAGTGTAACAAAAACAACTCATACATTCATCATTCACTTACTGATTAAAAAAATACTTTTTGAGTGGCTATTATATGCCAGGAATGGGAGATTCTCAGATAAAAGATACTCTCTCTGTACCCTCAAAAAGCTCAGAGGCTACTGGAGGAGGACAGGTGAACAGGTTGACACAGAGTGCACAGGAGGAGAACGCTGCATTTCCGTGAAGCAGAGCCTTAGGATTAGGAGGGGGCTCCACCCCACACAGAAGGGGAGGCTGGACTGGGAGGCAGTAAGGAGATGGCCCACGAGCCTCTCAGGAGGTTGGAGGTTGGAATCACCGAAGGCCTGGGAGACATGAATGGGGCAAGGGCAGGGAGGGGACATGCAGTTCAAGGCAGATGGGGTGGATGTGTGAAGGCACGCGGCGGGGTCGGGGAAGCTGCATTTCAGGGTTATTGGAGTTTGGGTTTGAGGATGAGTGATCAGGGATTCAAACAGGGAAGAGACAGGACTGGGTTTGCTTTTCAGGAGGACCCTGGCCAGTGGGAAGGACAGATGGGACGGAATGACAAGGAAGGGAGGGAACTGGTAGGTGGCAGGTACGGGATGGAGTGACAAGGAAGGGAGGGAACTGGTAGGTGGCAGGTACGGGACGGAGTGACAAGGAAGGGAGGGAACTGGTAGGTGGCAGGTACTGGACGGAGTGACAAGGAAGGGAGGGAACTGGTAGGTGGCAGGTACTGGACGGAGTGACAAGGAAGAGAGGGATCTGGTAGGGTGGCAGGTACGGGACAGAGTGACAAGGAAGGGAGGGAACTGGTAGGGTGGCAGTGGCAGGTACTGGATGGAGTGACAAGGAAGGGAGGGAACTGGTAGGTGGCAGGTACTGGACGGAGTGACAAGGAAGAGAGGGATCTGGTAGGGTGGCAGGTACGGGACGGAGTGACAAGGAAGAGAGGGATCTGGTAGGGTGGCAGGTACGGGACAGAGTGACAAGGAAGGGAGGGAACTGGTAGGGTGGCAGTGGCAGGTACTGGACGGAGTGACAAGGAAGGGAGGGAACTGGTAGGGTGGCAGTGGCAGGTACTGGACAGAGTGACAAGGAAGGGAGGAAACTGGTAGGGTGGTAGGTACGGACGGAGTGTAAGGAAGGGAGGGAACTGGTAGGGTGGTAGGTACGGATGGAGTGTAAGGAAGGGAGGGAACTGGTAGGGTGGCAGTGGCAGGTACCGGACGGAGTGACAAGGAAGGGAGGGAACTGGTAGGGTGGCAGGTATGGGACGGAGTGTAAGGAAGGGAGGGAACTGGTAGGGTGGCAGGTACGGGACAGAGTGTAAGGAAGGGAGGGAACTAGTAGGGTGGCAGGTGAGGGCCTGCAGATGGGGAGGCTCATTCACTCCTTTGCATTCTGCAAATGTTTATGGAGCACAGATTCCTGCCCAGAGAGAGCTTCTGGTCTAGCCAGGGATTATCCCAAATATCCTTTTAGGGAAAATGTGAACCTTATCTCTTTACTCCTCATAGCTGGGACCACAGCTGCTGCCATGCTCATTTTAAAAGGCAGATTTAGGCCAGGCATGGTGGCTCTTGCCTGTAATCCCAGCACTTTGGGAGGCTAAGGCAGACAGATTGCATGAGTTTGAGGCCAGCCCGGGCATCATGGTGAAACCCTGTCTCTACAAAATATACAAAGATCAGCCAGGTGTGGTGTTGTATGCCTGTAGTCCCAGCTCCTTGGGAGGCTGAGGCGGGAGGATCACTTGAGCCTGGGAAGTCAAGGCTGCAGTGAGTTGAGATTGTACCACTGCACTCCAGCCTGGGTGACAGAGCAAGACCCTGTCAGAAATAAAAGGCTGATTTAAGGTTATTTATTCCCCTCTCCTTGAGTGCCAGTGGACAATGAGTCATGAAAGGGCCTTAACCAGGTGGCAGAAGTCGAGAAGGGTGTGGGGGTGGAAGGGGACCCGAGGGCTGGGCTATCCCACTGTGCTGTCACCACCCATGAATCCTGGACAGACAGCAACTGTCTGTCACCGCTCCGACTCCATGGTAACTGCAGTCTGCTCAGCATCTGGTGAATCGTCTGCTCAATATTTCCCCTCGTTGGGTGGCGGTGATGATGGCGAGCTCCTCCTGCTTTAAAATGGAGATGGAAGACAGCCATTTCTTTTCATTCTCCCACTGGCTGCTGCTGCTTTTTTTTTTTTTTTTTTTTTTGGAGCTCAAACTAGCTAGGAGCATTTACACAGCATTGGGCCCAAGCAATTATGATGACCGTGCTAAAAAAAAAAATCCATAAACTAGAGAAAAGTAAGATCCTTCTCGCAAACGCAGGATATTGGTATTTCTTGAACTGGGGTGAGCTCAGTAGGGAAATGACACCCTGATGGGCTTTCTCAAGTTGGAGCCAAGGCTGGCCGGACAAGAACAGCAAACACAGCTTCTGAATGGCGGCAGGGAGCAGTTGGCTCGCCGCAAGGTAGAGTTTCCTCTAAATGAAGATCTTCATCCATTCCGTAAACATTGAGCATCTACTCTGCACCAGGTAGTGCTCGAGGCACTGGGAAACAGATCCCCTGATTCAAGACAAAGTCCTTGTTTTCAAATGGAAGTTACATATTCTATTAGGGAAGACAGAATATAAACAACTTCAACATTGCATATAATATCAGCAAGCAAAAACTGCCATGAAGAGTCAAAAAGCAAAGCAAGGGGCTGGACAGTGCTCAGGAGAGACAGTAACTTGGGCAGAGGGTGTGAGCACGTGGCACTGGGAAGGGGGTTCCAGGCCCCAGGAGCAAGTCGGTGTTGCGGGGGGTGCATGTGAGGCGCAGAGGCTGGAGATGTGGGCAGCAGCCACTTTTGCCCTGGGATGGCCCCACAGACTACTGAGGTAGACACTCCACGTGGCCAGGGACCAAGTGCCTCTTTATGACAATTATGAATGTGACAGTCACACACGTGGTGAGAAAAAGCTTGCTTTTGATAACTACTTGATTTCCAGCTCTGAGTCCCCATGCTCCACGCTGTGTGGGAAGCATCGGTGCAGGCATTTCTAGGTAACCTTGTCTAAGCCATTTCGTTTATTGAGTTAGAGCTTCCCTCTCATCCTGGGCTGTGTGTGCTTCCCTTCATCTGAGAAGACGCCTTGGTCCTTGATCACCTTCAGCTCGGTGGCCTCTGTGGAGAAGGGACCCCCCACGGCCCCCAGGTGCTGCTCACACAGTAGACATCACGGATCTGTGTGTTGGCTCAGAAGATTTTGTGCCTATAGTAGCAACGTGCTGTCCTCTTACAAAAATCAGCCTATTAGGACATTTCCCCAAGAGAAGGAAGGAGCAGTGGTGAGGACCCTTTCCCTGATTTGTACCCAAGGGCGCCTCTGGGCGTGGCTCAGGGAGAAGGAAGGAGCAGTGGGGAGGACCTTTTCCCTGATTTGTACACGAGTGCACCTCTGGGCGTGGCTCAGGGAGAAGGAAGGAGCGGTGGGGAGGACCTTTTCCCTGCTTTGTACACGAGTGCACCTCTGGGCGCGGCTCAGGGCACAGGACACTTCCAGCTGCTCTTCTCTGCCTGTCTGGGGCTTTGGACAGAGCGGCTGGGAGCTGGTGACGGGGCTCCCTCTGTTTCTCGGCCGTTACCTGGCCTGCCTTGATTTCCACTAGCTGCTCTCATGCCAGCTGGGAGACGAGCTGTGTCCTTAGACTCGACCCAAGAGGCACAGTCCCATCCCTCTGCTCTCGGATTCCTCCAAAACCCCTGGAGGGGGCAGGCTTTCCTCTCTGGTTGCCATCTGCCATTGGGAAATCTCCTTCCCTCAGTCCGGACAGAATTCTCAGCTGTTCTCTGGGTGGTGGAAGGAAACTGGCTGCTGGTACCCTTCCAGGTCTTTATTTATACGCAGACTCAAAGGGGCTTTTCTCTTCCTGTTACTGTCTCTGTTCTGGCTTAACAAAAGCCTGCTGGCAGCTCCAGGTAAGAATCAGCTTCTATCTTCTGGGCTGTGCCAGTATCCCCAAGAGGGGCCCCGACTCAGTGAGTGGAGGGTGGTGGCACAGCAAAGAATCGAGGGGGTACCTGGTGCGAATCCTGTAAGGATGACCGTCTGTGACCGTGCTGTCAATCCTCCCAGGCCCAAGTGGCACACACTGTGTACGTCATCAGTGTAAATCCTGCGTTTCCAGCACTCGCCGACGGGCTGACTGCTGCCTGAGTATCAACTGGTCGCTGTTGGGTTATCTGCTGATTTGAGGCTTTTTAATTTGAAGGCTGTTTAGCTCCTTGAGGAGTCAGGAGTCTGGGACAGGGTCAGGTTCACCTGTGGATTCTCAGCACCTGGCCAACACGTGGCCCACTGTGTTACTCAGTACCCACTGAGAAAGACAGAGAAGTGGAGTCTTCCTCCTGCTTGGTTTCCCCATGGTGAGGTCTGGCTAGGCCAACAGTTACACAACCTCGGTGCAAAGCCCTGACGTGGTGATGGATGTAAGTGGCCTTGGCATCCATCCCCCTTGTCTTCCTCCTCTTCCCAGGGACTCCATCACTCTGACTACCTGCCGTCTCTTTCCCTGTCCACGGAAACAGACCAACCTGCCACTCTTTATAGCGGTGGTTCTCAAAGTATGTTCCCAAACCTGTGCCATCGATTTCACCTGGAGCCGTATTAGAAATGCACATTCTCAGGCCTCATCCCAAACCTATGAATCAGAAACTCTGTGGGTGGGCCCAGCAACCTGTGTTCTCTCCAGTCCTCCGGGTGATTCTCATGCCCCAACATTTGAGACCTGCTGCTTTGAAGGACGTTGGAGGCATCGCCTCCGCTCTGCTGCCAACAGGCTTGGGCACAGGGGAGGTGGGAGAAGCCGAGAGTGATGGAGATCGGGGCCCACAGAAGCTACTTCCTTGTCATGTGGGGAGTTCTGAAATGCCCCCTGCGGTCCCGCCTCACTGCCCATTCATATCCTACAGGATGTCCCTGGTTTCTTGTTGTTGGCACGTGACCTTCACGACAGTAGTTTTCAGATCCTGAAGAACCTGAGTTGGAAACAATTCCTTATGCAAGGGGAGCCACACAGGTGTCCACACAGGTCTCCTGGGTGTGCACAACCACAGGGTTCCGAGGCTTCCTCCACTGAGTGTGGCTTAGCTCTTAGTTCACAACCAAGCAATCCGCCATGTCTTCAAACAATGAGAAGACAAGAGCGGTTTTCAAGAAGTGGTGTTGAGAGAATGGATGTGTGGCTCCCACACCTAGCAGGCTGCAGGACCGCCTCCCTCCCCCACTCCAAGCTCAGGGTTTTACCCAAACCCAAGCACCTCTGCTTCTTGCTCTTAGTTAACATCTTACATTGCTGAAGCCTGCAACACCTCTTGAAATTTTTCAGCAACAATGTCTTTATTTCCTTCTTTCTTTCCCTCCCTCCCTCCCTCCCTCCCTTCCTTCCTTCCTTCCTTCCTTCCTCCCTCTCTCTCTTTCTTTCTTTTTTGAGACAGAGTCTCCCTCTATCACCTAGGCTGGAGTGCAGTGGCGTGATCTCGGCTCACTGCAACCTCTGCCTCCTGGGTTCAAGTGATTCTCCTGCCTCAGCCTCCCAAGTAGCTGGGACTACAGGCACACACCACCATGCCCAGCCATTTTTTGTAGCTTTTTTTTTTTTTTTTTTTTTTTTTTTGAGACGGAGTCTCCCTCTGTCGCCAAGGCTGGAGTGCAGTGGCGCGATCTCGGCTCACTGCAACCTCCGCCTCCTGGGTTCACGCCATTCTCCTGCCTCAGGCTCCTGAGTAGCTGGGACTACAGGCGCCCGCCACCACGCCCAGCTAATTTTTTGTATTTTTTTAGTAGAGATGGGGTTTCATCATGTTGGCCAGGATGGTCTCGATCTCCTGAACTCGTGATCTGCCCACCTCGGCCTCCCAAAGTGCTGGGATTACAGGCGTGAGCCACCGCACCCAGCCTTTTTCGTATTCTTAGTAGAGACGGGGTTTCACCATGTTGGCTGGGATGGTCTGGATCTCTTGACCTTGTGATCCGCCTGCCTCAGCCTCCCAAAGACAACAATGTATTTCTTTAGCTAAGGATTTTATCATTTTCCCTAGAAAATTAGGAGGAAAAATCCCAAACAACTCTCTTTATTACTCCTAATTTTAAATATTTCTGAGTATGTTAAATTTGCCAGTGTTCAGAGCAAACCAAAGTATAAGCCATGTTTTCTTCTCTCTTTTTTTTTTTTTTTAAGCTAACAAATTGGTCTAGGTCTAGAATGGCACTTAAGGGAATTAGCTTTATGTTTACAGTGATTTATCCTGTCAGCTGTTCTTCATTTTCCTACTAAGACCTACTTGCCCTCTGCTTCTTGCTCTTTGCTGGTTGATACCATTTTTTAAAAAGGTTGCTAAAGTTGTAATGTCTGGCGACCCCCCAGCCCTCAGATAACATGCTTCTCTACGAGCAAGACCCTCAGTGTCTGCACCACAGCATTTTAGAGGCTCTGGCTTGTGGGTGGGAGAGATGACAGATTTGGGGAATCATTAGGGGACCCTCAGAACACAGTTTGGGAGCAGTTGCCTGTACCAGGGTGCAAAGTTCAGGAGTCCCCAAGGCCACCCTCAATTCTGACACCCAGTGTAAGGTTGGGGCTCCCCACAACCACCCTCAGTTTGATGATTGGCTAGTAGGACTCACAGAACTCCGAAGAGCCTTTCTATGTGCAGTTCTATTACGGTGAAAGTTATCCAGATCAAAGTCAACCAAAGCAAGAGGCACACAGGGTGGAGTCTGAGATGCCGGTGCAGAGCCTCTGGCTGTCCTTTCTCAGAGGGGCTGTGTGGACAGGGCCCATCTCTGCCTGCAATGATGAGACAACAGGCATGGAATAGTGCCAACCAGAAAAGCTCACCCAAGCCTCAGGCCTGGAGTTTTCATTGGGGTGGGTCATGGGGACAGGTTGGCTATCTCTACCACTGGCCTGGGCCTGCAGCCCCTCCAGAGACCAAGCTGATCCTTGGGGCCATAACCCACATGGCCAGCACAGACTGCCTGGCCGGTCCAACCCCCCAGATAAGCAGAGAGACTCTTACCACACAGACAGTTGCAAGGGCTTAAAGATGACTAGCAGAGGACAGAAGCCAGTCCTCTCTAAGGACACGGTTAATCCTCCACTGCACACGAGGCTACTCAAAGCAAGTGCAGCTCGGCACCATGCAACTGTTTGATCCTGGTCCCCGATGAGATAATACAGAGATGGCGTATGTGTTTAGAAACAGCTACGGCAATTGGACAGAGTATGTCTAATACATCTAATCATGAAACAGTGGGACTTTTCGTTACCTATTTAAATTTTTTCCCCAGTAATTTAAAAATTATATTTTATACAAGTACTAATGTGCAATGAATAGGAATTTTTTAAAACAGTGAACACTGTTCTTTATCACTCATGGTTCGAGAAGGGCTGACCTCCACTCTGTGCCATCTCTGTCCCGGCCACCTCTGTGACCTTGGATATGACCTCTCAGCTCTCTGGTTTCCAGGGTTCTCTTTTGTAAGCTGGGGCAGGAATGGGTGAACTGAACAGTTTTTTCAGATTTTCTTTTTGACCATGATAAGAAAATATATCTATGTCATGACCCAGGACCTGTTTCTCCTTGTTCCAGGCAAAGCAGTTTGGCATTTCCTATTCTCATCCTTCTGTTCTCACCCCTTCTATCTAGAAAGAAGACAGTGGTTTGCGCCCACTACACTGGTTTTATGACCCGTGGAGGGCATGGATCTGAGGTGGGACACCCAGTTAGGTGGTCTTTAAAGCGATTTCCTGCCACTGGAGGGACCTTGAACAAGATTCCTGTGTGAGCATCCAGAGCCAGGGCCGGCTGGGCTGAGGTCTACAGATCATGGGCATGTGCAGAAGTCATTATGCTCTTTCTGTGACTCGACTAAGCAGGGAGTTTTCTCCTTTTATTTCTTAGAATAAAAATGTCAAAACCCTGAGATATTCACATGAGGGCATCACTGCTTATCCTCCCCATCGTGGTCAGGGGTGGCCCAGGCCTGTGAGTCAGGAGCAACTCTCCACGTGGGATTCCCAGGGTATGCCTGCGCCCCATGGCGGAGATTGCTCAGTCTGGGGTGACTTGAGGGCATGGTCCTGGCTTTGCTGCTCCCCTGCCTCTGCTCCAGGGCACCCTCATCCTCGCTTGCTGCTGCAAACCGCCTCAGCATCCAGTCTAGAGGCAGATCATATCTGGTGTCTTCTTGTGGGTTATATGGGCACTCATTGGCTTTTACATAAAACACTGAGCGTTGAATGTAGTTCAGCTTGTTACCATGGGTTACAAAAATGGAAGCAGATTCTGTTAAAAAAAAGAAAAAGCTCTTCTGCTCCCCTCTTAGAAAAAGCACCATCCCCCTAAACACTTCCAAGCGACTCGTCTCCTCCCTGGCAGGTGACGGGTGCTGAAGAAGGGGCCTGCGGAAGACCTCTCAGAGCAGATGCTGAGCAGGATGAACTGACAAGGAGGTGTTTGGTGGGAATGAATGCCAGTCCCTTCTTTCTGATCATGCAGAATTTCTAATAATGCAGAAATTAATAATGCAGAATTCAGCCACATCAGCTGGAAGCTCACGTGTCAGTTCCTGAGAACATACAGAACCCCATTGGTCAGGAGGAAGTTCCCATCACAGGGGAGCCGACATGTCCAGAGGTGACCGGCTCCCTTTCATGAGGTTCCTAGTTAACATCCTGTATGTTATGGAAGGGAGGGGTGCCTTGAGAAGCCTGGGGGACAGGCAGAGAGATCCACAACAGCGTTGCAGGTGAACTGGAGGTGGTTTCTGTGCTTCATAAAAGGGCCCTTCACATTTACACGTTCAGTTACCGCTCATCATGCTCTGGGATTGCGTTTTATTGCATAAAGTCAATGTTCACCTAGATCTTAGGAGGACAGCTGCAGAAGGCAAGGAACCAGGAGTCCTGATAGGTAGCAGAGCATCAGCTGACAGGGCCTCACCGTGGCCTCAGCACTGCCGACCTGCGGTTGTTATCCAGGCACATGGTGAACCCTATTTGGCATTTCCATGAGAAGATGGGTTGGAAACAACCCTTGGTGGCCTCTGAAGCCATCTGTTCTCATTATCTCCAGAAAGTGTGTTTTCTAGCACAGCTGCCACACTGACCCAACTGATTAAATTTCAATCCCAGCTACTCGGGAGGCCGAGGCAGGAGAATTGCTTGAACCTGGGAGGTGGAGGTTGCAGTGAGCCGAGACGGGGCCTTTGCACTTTAGCCTGGACGGCAAAAGGGAAACTCCATCACAAAAAAAAAAATTTTTTTTTTTTCAATCCTCAGAGTAGATCTCAGAAGATACAGATGCCGCAGGCCAGGTGCAGTGGCTCACGCCTGTAATCCCAACTCTTTGTGAGGCCAAGGCTGGTGGATCACCTGAGATCAGGAGTTCAAGACCAGCCTGGCCAACATGGTGAAACCCTGTTTCCACTAAAAGTACAAAAATTAGCCGGTGTGGTGGCACACGTCTGTAGTCCCAGCTACTTGGGAGACTGAGGCAGGGAAATCGCTTGAACCCGGGAGGCAGATGTTGCAATGAGCTGAGATTGCACCATTGCACTCCAGCCTGGGCAACAGAGTGAGAGCGAGACTCTGTCTCAAAAAACAAAACAAAACAAAAAAAACCTTTGCTTGTCATCATCTCCCTGGTAGCTTTCCAGTTGTGTTGATGAGTTCAAGGAAAGCTTTCTAAAAGGCTTCACAAAATAATAATAATTTTTTTCAACATGTGTCACCTAGGCATATTTCAAAGCATACTGCATGTTTTGATCCAGGATATTAACAACAAAAATGTGTCAGTCCCCACTGAGTCATCCATGTTTACTCAAGTTGGATTTAGCTGCAGAGTTATCTAGAATTTCTGGCAGAAAATCATCTCAGCTGAAATTCCGATAGGCTTTCAAGAAAAAGGAAATGTTCGTTCCTTAAGAGATCCTTAAATACATTATAAGGGAGATTTGAAAGATTTTGAAATCTCTGGAATTAGAAAATTTAAGGCTTTCTTTGTTTTCTTGTTTGTTTGTAGAGATTTTAAAGAAATCAGATGAGCTCCATGTTTCTTAAGATGGATTTAATCTATCTGGTAGTGAGGTAGAAATAGCAGTGGCTGGGGAGTCCATTCTCCAGGGGGTTCTGGGGCTGGAGGGTCTTAGACCCAGGCTCAGGGCTCAGAACTCAAAGAAGTTTAGGGGTTCAGGAATGCTTAGGGTTGCTTAGGTCCTAGGACTATTAATATTATTTCAGGTAAACTATTTTGTGAACTGGTGTAGGGTCTAAAAGCCATTTACTATTTTTGTTTCCATGGGAAAAATATATTCCAAGTTCCAAGCCAATTTATGGAATGTAATCTGTTGGTAGAGAGTATGCGTCATCTATTTTGCCAGAGAAAATGCAGTATGAACATTTCACATGTGTTATAAAACATATATGTATTACAGCTTATAGTACAAAGAGCAATGCCCATTACTCAGAACAAATACTATGTCACATGTCCAACAGGTGTTTGTTAATGGAACTGGCTAATAGGTTTTTATTTTAAAATTATTTTTAAAGCATGCAATCTGCAAATAATCCAAGTTATCCTACTATTGATTATATATATATATATATTTATTATTATTATTTTTTTTTTGAGATGGAGTCTTACTTTTGTCTCCCAGGCTGGAGTGCAGTGGCGTGATCTTGGCTCACGACAACCTCCGCCTCCTAGGTTCAAGCGATTCTCTTGTCTCAGCCTCCCAAGTAGCTGGGACTACAGATACATGCCACCACACCCAACTAATTTTGGAATTTTTAGTAGAGACAGAGTTTCACCATGTTGGCCAGGCTGGTCTCGAACTCCTGACCTCAGGTGATCCGCCCACCCTGGCCTCCCAAAGTGCTGGAATTACAGGCGTGAGCCACTGCGCCCAGCCAGATAATATATTTTTGAAAGTTCCACTATTCTGTTTTTCTATTAGAATTACATGAAATCTTAATTGCCTTAAGACCCCAATTTTATCCCAAATTATCCACAAGAAGAGACAGGGAGTGTCAGATGGCTTGCAAAGGTGAGTGAGGAGGTCTCATAGCACCGGGTAGCACTGGCTCCTGGCTCAGCTGAACTCCACACAGGGACTCACGTCACAGCAGCAGCCTTCCCTCACAGTTGGACATAGAGGGGAGTATAAGGGAGGGGGGCTTTTCTCTGAGGCCCTCAGGTGTCAGCATGAGGTCCCTGGGGGAGTTTGGGTCCTCAATGCCTTAGACGTTGTCTCTGTTACCCTCGTCACCTCCACCTCCCCCTGAGGTCCCTGGCGGAGTTTGGGTCCTCAATGCCTTAGAGGCTGTTTCTGTTACCCTCATCGCCTCTTCCTCCCCCTTCTCGAGCACTGACGATCCCCGGTGGTGCAGAAGCCTGCCTGGCACTGTGCCACAGCAAAAACCCTGGAGCCATCACGGTGCTTTCAGGCGTTACTGGGAGACAGGACATTCACATGAAGACAGAAACTACAGTAGGTGGTCTAGAAAAAGGATGAAATGTGTGAGGGAAATGTTCTGGGTTAGTGGTGATGTCTGCACAACCTTGCGACTATACTAAAAACACGGAATTGTACATTTTTAAAGGGCTAATCTCATGGTATGTGAATTATATCTCAATTTTGAAGAAATATGTGACGGAGCAAGTATTTGAGGAATTCAGAGGAAAGGGGGCCCTCAACGCCTATGAAACGTGTTAGTAATGGGGAGGCAGGAAGGACTTAGACAAGCGGAGAGAGGCAGAGAGGGGCAGAGGGAGACGCGGAGGGTGGGAAGCGCCTGGTGGGTTCTGCCAGGGAGGGAGGAGGCTGAATTGCCAGAGAGGGAGACAGGGAGAAGGGAAAAGAAGAATGGAAACCATTTGGGGCCAGATTATGGAAGCTTTAGATGCTGGTCTGAGGGGCACATGGGGAAGAAAAAGCTGTGGATGATCTGACACCTGGGATCTGACATGGGCCTGGCGATGGCTGGGAAGACACGTGCCTGGGTTGTACGGGATGGGCAGGAACAGGAACATTTGGCAGGAGGAGAGCTCTTCGCAGCAATCCTAACATTTTGGGTTAGATGGTGAAGGTGGCGATAAAGTGAAGAAGAAGGAAAGATTTTGTGGATCCTGTAGAGGAAGAGTGACAGGGCTTGAGGCCCGATTGGATCTACAGAGTAAGGAAATCAAAGGCCTCTCCAGAGTTGTAAGCTTGGGGCTCTCCTGGGGAAGCTTCAACTAAAATAAAGGCCTGTTTGGGAAGAAAGATGTTGAATCCAATCTCAAGCATTTGGGTTTGGGGCAGTGATGGGATATGTAAGTGGGAACATGGAGCCAAGCATACCACAGCGAGCCCAGAAGCGGTCGCATTTGTGGCCAAGGAAAGTAAGGCCCATGGGCTCTGTGACCTGCCTGAGGTTACAGAACTAGCTGCAGGCAAGCTGGAGTCAGATTCCTGGCTAAATCTCCTTTTGTCTAGCAAGCAGCTGGTTCAGCTGTGGGGCTAATCCTTGGGAGGGTGATGGGTGCTGGAGAGTTGAGTCCACAGAAGAGGCAGGAGTAGAAGGCACTGGAGTGGTGAAGTCTCTGCAGGGGAATAGAGGAGACAGCAAAGGCCAAAGGGCAGGGAAACGAGCCTTGCCATGTGTCCTCATTTGTGGGATGTGAGAAGGAAGCAGATTGCAAGCAGATGTCAGCTGGAATAAAGACAGCAGTGTCACTGAGGCCAAAGGGAGAGAGCATTGCCCACAAGCATTAGAGATGCCCAACTGCATGCTTGTCTGCCTCCTGCAATACAGCCAGCTGCACGGATCCAGGGGCATGGGGTGCTCAACCATGTCAGATGCTTCAGGGATGTTAAAGAGAATGCAGCCAGGCCACAGGATTTGCCACTGGAGATCATGGAGAGTGCATTTCAGAAGCATGCAGTGAAGGGAAGCTGACAGAGAGTGGGAAGTGAGGAAATGGAAGACCGGAGGGCAAGCCACTCTTGAGACATTTGGCAATGAGAAGAATGAGCGCTTAAAGATGAACAGAGAGACAAGCCAATGAGAGGAATGAGTGCTTAAAGATGAACAGAGAGACAAGCCAATGAGAGGAATGAGTGCTTGAAGATGAACAGAGAGACAAGCCAATGAGAGGAACGAGTGCTTGAAGATGAACAGAGAGACAAGCCAATGAGAGGAATGAGCACTTAAAGATGAATAGAGAGACAAGGAAGATGAGTTTTTTTTGTTGTTTTCAAAGTAGCAGTATGGTATGGTGGCCTACGGAAACAACTGGTGGGAAGAAACTGAAGATGCAAGAGATCATAAAAGAACTGGGTCCTGGGTCATGGAGGAGAGAAGGAGCTGAGTTCTGGGTCATAGAGGAGAGAAGGGGGTGGGTCCTGGGTCATGGAGGAGAGAAGGGTCTGGGTCCTGGGTCATGGAGGAGAGAAGGGGCTGGGTCCCGGGGTCATGGAGTAGAGAAGAGGCTGAATCCCAGGGTCATGGAGGAGAGAAGGGGCTGGGTCCCGTGTCATGGAGGAGAGAAGGGGCTGGGTCCCGTGTCATGGAGGAGAGAAGGGGCTGGGTCCTGGGTCACGGAGGAGAGAAGGGGCTGGGTCCTGGGTCATGCAGGAGATGGGGTCAAGCCTACTTTAGCAGGTAGGAATGCTCTCTAAAGGGAGAGAACAGTAGATGGATGAGGCAGAACTTTTTAGTGGGGAAGAGAAGGATGACAGAGCTCTAGCTGGAGGGTGTCACTCTTGCACTAATGGAGGAGATGGAATTTTCTATTGTGATTATCTAGTGAATGCTCATTTTCCCCTTCTTCCTGACCAACAGACCTCCAATATTATTTGGAGCAGGAATGTGCCCAGCTAAAACACCAAGCTTCCCACCCTCCTTTTTAGCCAGCAGTGGTTATGTGACTTAATTTCAATCATGGAAAAATCATAGATTGGGGTTTCTGGGAATGCTCTTTAAAGGGAGCAGTCATAAGTGTCTGTACCCATTTTGCTCCTCCCCGTTTCTCCTTCTTTCAGCTTACAATGCCACACAGACCTCCAGAATAGGTGGAGGGAACCAGGAGGAAAAGAAATTCATTTGAAAGTCTCTCTCTTTTGGAAAAGAATATGCTAGACTCATATGTACAGCTCATACGTACTTAATAGAAAACCTAAGGATATGGCTTTGATGGCTGGCACTGTAGCAGCTGTATTGTGACCATGAAGTGACCTTGAGGATGAGAGCCAGTGCTAAGAATGGCAGAACAGAGAGAAGGAAGCCAGGACATTGATGACACTGCAGAGCCACCACAATGTCCCGGGATTGCCTTACCTCTGCACTTGTTTTGCATACAGAAAAGACATTTCTTTTCCTAAGCTGCTGTGATTTGGGGATTTTGTTATGAGTAGCCAAGCACAGTTCCTCTCTGGTGAGGCTGGTGTGTGTGTGCCCACGCACGTGTGCATGTGTTAAAAGGTGGCATATAGAACATGCTGGATTAGGGACTTTAAATTTCTGCATTGCTCTAAAGTAGAATTGAAACTTGAGAACCACGTCTGAGGAAAGCAATCTGGGTATCTACGATCAGAAAACCCTCATCCTTATACAGATGGGTGTCCACAACGTGCATATTCACTGAGTGCAAGTCGATTCCTCCCTTCCCCACACATCTTGTTGACCAAGACGATATCTACCTTATAAAGGCTGAAATTTACATTTTATGCCATTAGCAGTTTTTATTGAAGGAGAAAAATTTTTTAATTCATCTCAGGTTTAAGATAAATTCTGCAAACATTGATTAAAACATGAAAGGCACTTAAATAAGCATACGTATCTCTGAAAACATGAAATGTTATGTACATGTGTTCACCATTGTTTGGATTTAGAGCTTTGAATTCACTAAGAGTTTAAAATGCTTTTTTTTTTTTCCATGCCAAAACGTTTGACTGTGAAATATCAACCCAGAATGCTCTGGGAAAAAGTTAGCAAGGCTTCAACCGTTTTTTTTTTTTTTTTTAATTGCAGGCTAAAACCATCTCTATTCATATAGAACCCAGAAAGCATGTCTCCTTGGACATGCCATGTGGCCTCTCGGTTTCACCAGGCATCTTGAAACATCGAGGGCAAGTAAGAGAGTTGTTCATTCATACCTTTATCACCAATATCAAGTTTCTTTTAAAAATTCAACACTTCCTGGGTAGAAAAGTCTCTGCAATAGCACAAGATGCTTGTCTGCTTTTCAATCCATTCTGTGTGTAATTCCTGGGGTTTATGAGATCAAAAAATAACTCCAGTTGTGGCTATTTATCTAGTTTTGTGGCAGCTGCAAATTCGGTTGCTCCAGAAACCATCTAATCTTCAATCTCCCAACTACTTTTAATGGCTGGATTAATGGACTAACACCTTACATGTGAAAATCCATCTTGGCTCTATTATCAGGACCATGGACAATGGGCAGATGGACAGAGGATTTACTGATTTACAAACTATTACCATCTTTGACATTTATTTGAAAAAAAAAAAGACGCTTCAGATCGTTTAATATTTCAATGATAACTTAGTTTTATGAGAGAGAGAGACGTTTTAAGGGAACAAATGAGAGGCAGTTTTTTTTTTTTTTTTTTTTTAAATGAGGTACCTTGGAAAATAGCATACAACTCCACATGCAGACCTCCAAAATAGGTGGAGGGGACCAAGAGGAATAGGAATTCATTTGAAAGTCTCTCTCTTTTGGACAAGAATATGCTAGACTCCCACAGCTCATGTGTACTTGATAGAAAATGTAAACATCAATTTGATTTCGGCTCAGCTTCAAAACAGTAGTAAGGCATCAATTAGAAAAGAGTATTTAATATTTGTTCTCCTTTATTCTTTTCTTACCTGGTCAAGAACTAAATGAACTCAATGTATTCTTGTGGATGGATGAAGGGCAGCTCCTTCTGGGAAGATTCCTTATAATATCAACGCAAACCCCGATCCCTTCTGGTGAACTTAAGACCCTAAGCCGAGGCTGAGAAGCAGTTGGTTCCTGGCATGAAGAGGATGGTTGTAGGCTGAGGTCTGAAGGGAGAAGTCAGGTTACAGAGAAGCGTTTGCTGCAGGGTAGTCAGGTGGGCAGAGACCTGAGACCCTTGGGGAGTAGCCCGCCAGGCTGTGCCCTTCAAAGTCTCTGACCAGTTCTGGTTCCAGCATTTTCTGGGCGATGCCATCAGAAGCCCCTGTGTCAAGGACACCTACTGCCAATTTTGGCAAGTTCATTTTTCTTGCTGTTGAGTCAGACAAGAAGGCCTAGGCCCAGGAGGTGAAGAGCTTAGGGGTTTTCAAAGCCACAGAAGGCCTGGCCCATCAGGTCTCCGCAGGAACATGGCTCATAAAATGGGTTTGCTCCTCACTTGGAACCACAGCTGGCAATCCTAGACAGAGCCGGTGAAGGCCGCAGTAAGCTGGGGGGTGGCGTGGAACTCTGCAAAGACTCCTCCCTTGTGCCATTCTGGGCCAGAACAGAGATTTCGCATTTTGCTGGCTTAGGGTGGGGACATGGCATTGTCCTCACAGGCTGAAATCATCACATTTGAAAGCTGGAACGAGCATCTTTTGGTTGGGCATAACGCAACTGCTGGGCCAATTTCTGCAGAACGGAGTGACAGGTCACTGTGCCCTCCTGGATGCAGTCTGTCTGCCACCTTCCTGCAGCATCCCCCTGCTTCCTGGGGCCCTCCCGGATGCAGGCTTTGTGCCGCCTTCCTGCAGCATCCCCACTTCCTGGGGCCCTCCTGGATGCAGGCTGTCTGCCACCTTCCTGCAGCATCCGCCTGCTTCCTGGGGACCAGGGCACTCACGCTCAGTTCAGCCTTCAAGTGCCGGGAAGCCTGTGGTTCCCTGGAGCACTCCTGGGAGAACGAACGCAGATGAATTTTTAAACAGCAGAATGAGTGTGTGTTTGTGTGTGTTTGATAATGGTCCAAGCTTTAATAGCATGGTAAAATATTTATTTTACTTTTTATAGCTAGCATGTAATCAATCTCTAACACACTGAAAGAAGTTAGAAACACCAACGTCTACTCAGCCACAGCTAGAAGGAACCATTCAACATTTATAAACATAAGTATTTATATTTATGTACATGTCACATATATGTTCGTGGGAAATGCAGAGCCATCACCTCGCCAGGTGAGCTGCCCCTCCGACCATCCCTCCTGACAAACAGAAGTGGGCGCCCCAGGGGGCATCATCGCTCATTCCTCTGATGCTGGGTTTCTTTTTCAAGCCACAGAGGACAGGGCTGTGGGCTTCTCTCTGGTTTTGGTTTTTAAGACATTAATTATCTAGCAAATTGGCCCATTCAAGTTAATCTCTCTCTTGACCCTGAATAGCCTTGATTCACTTCACCAAAATTCCCAGTCCCCTATTGGATAAATGATGCCAAGTGTGTGCCAGGGACAGGGTTGGAGGTGGGGAAATTGATAATAAATATTAAGTAAATATCCATTATGTGAAGACAAGTGAGTCGTGATCCTGGCTTCTGGGAATTTTTCACAGTGAGGTGGGAAGAAGGGCTGGTCACAGGAGAGTGGCAACCACTGAGTTAGGAAATGTTAGAAGCGGGAGGCCTCTGAAGACCATGATCTTGCTTTCCAGGGGAATGAGCTGAGAATGGACTGGGCCACACGTGGGACCGGAGTGAGGGCTAAGCCGGATTCGCGGTCACCCATGGAGCACCGTTCTCATCAGGGCCAACTCCTTCCTGGGGCCTCTGGGGAGCAGGTGGAAGAAAGCAAGGAGCAGAGACGGTTTGGGAAGTTGTGGAAGCTCCTTTGTGGGGCTGTCACTTTGGGCTCACAGGTAGCGTGGACAAGGAGAATCCCTGTGAGTTGGTGCCTGTGAGCGTGTGCGGTTGTGTAAGGAGGGCACTGCCCCATGAATTACACATTGCAGGTGGGTACAAGTAGTTAGGTGGTTCAGAAAATCAAAAATGGCTACATAGAATGGACCTATTCCATTTTCTATACGTGCATGCAGCATGACAATAAAGATGGCTCGAAGACATCACAGTGCAAGAACTCTGCAGGCCCTTTCAGCATGAATTATTTTGTGACCTGTGAATTGCCTTCATTCCAAATAAAACTTGTGTGCTTTTCTTTTTCCTATCTTCTTTTCTTTTATATAAAATGGCAACTCTTTCTCAGGAGTAATAGCCTTTTTCCATAAATGCAAATCACTTGGGTTACTTGTATCATTGGTCAATGTGTCTTGTCTTTCATATGGTTATAAGGAGCAAGGCCATGGCTTTGAACTTGAGTAGCTTTAGCTGTTAGATTTATGGTCTGGAAAGAAGCCAGGAGAGGAGTTGCTGTGTCCCCTGTGGCTGCCCCCATAGTGACACACTCCCTAAGTCCAGAGCCAGTTCGTTCCCTTCTAGGTGACCAATGAAAGTGAACAAAGTGGTCATTTTCTTAATTTCATTCTGATCAGTGTCTAGGAAGGATGATGACCTACATGATCTCAGCTTAGACTGTAAGCCGATTTCTCCTCCTCATTTTCTGATACCTTTACTAGGACCTCAAGTTGCACTTCTGGGATTGAGTGACACGTTAACACAGAAGGAAGCCCAGAAGACGCCCGACAGAACCTTCTCCCTGAGCGTCCCCTCCCCTCTCCCTACTTCCGATCAACTGTTGCACGGCAAACTGCAAACGTAGAGCAAATTCCACTAAGATGGTGTCAAAAAGAGATAATTAAAGAAAATAAATGATGGAAAACTTGCCTCTTATCTAAGAAATTATTCTATAAATATCTCCCAGTTCAAAGATTTGACTTTTGGTTGTCTGGGGACCATTCCTCGCTAGGGACATTTCAAGAAAAACTCTCCCCATCTGGATGACTTTGTTTTCATTTATGCTATTAAGGATAACCGTACGCAGATCCAAAATAACAGAGGACGTCATTTTATTGGCTGTCCACGGGAAGTTTCATCACACACGGAGGTGAAGACTGTGGGGGTTGTGGCACACAATATCTCAACACGAGACCTCATCGAGCGGCCAAACAGAAGGTGAAGTGACACCCGACACGACGGAACCCCAGCCGCCCTCTGCAGCCCCGGTGCCACCTCTCCACAGACGCCTCAGCCCAGTAAGCTGAGTGATGACACTGTCCATTAGTCTCAGTTCGTTGCACTGTCTTCCAACAAAACAGCACTTGAAAATTCACAAAATTAAAAAAAGAAAAAGAAAGCAGCACTTCCTTGGAAATAGCAACACCACTGTAACACAGACGGCAGCGTGGCATGCAGATCCACACCTGGTCGGTTTTTTCCCTTTAGGATTTTTTTTTTTTTTAATTAACAAATGGAATGGCAGGTCTGTTTCAAATATTAGTAGCATAACACATAAGTGCAATTGCAGTCTGGCCACAAGCGTCAGAAGCCTTCCGTGTGTCTGTCACAAGGGCGGGCAGACACACTCCGATTCCACCCCTGGAGGGTCACCAAAAGAAAGCAGCCACTTCTCTATTTCCATTGTTGTCAAAGCACTCAGGTTGGGGAAGAAAATTCAAATGAAACCAAGCTCTCAGCATCCGGGGCCAGCCACCCTGTGCCATCCTAAGTGGTCTCTGTACCCCAGACCTGGGGCTGTCATCTCCACCGTGGCATTGGCTGGGAAAGTCGCTGTGGGACACACCCCTCCGCTCACTCCTGCTGCCCATGGAGGAGCCTCTGGTGTCCCCCGGCCTGGGGCCATGTGGGTCACACGGAGCTGAGCTTCACCAGGCCGCGCACAGAGTCCTCATGCAGGGAGTCCTGGCTGGCCAGGCCCAGCACGTGCATGGTGCGGCTGTGCGCCAGGGGGCTGCCCGCCGCCAGTAGCCTGGGGGGCGAGGGCGCCTCATCGGGCGTCAGGAACTGGTGGCCCATGTGCTCATCTTTCCGGGGCATCACGTCCGCGAGCGTGGCCTCGGCGAGGTTGGGCATGGAGGCGGGCGGTGTGGGCGGGCCCAGTGTGAGGCTGGCGCAGGGCGTGCCCAGGCCAGGCTTCCCGGGCAGGTGCAGCTCGTCGCTGGTGAGGCTGGGCTCGCTCTGCAGCAGGGGCGTGGCTGCAGCCTGCAAAACGAATTTGGTGCTCTGAATGCACTGGTCTTGGTCGCACTGGAGAGCGGGAGGCGCCAGCAAAGAGAAGGTGGAGAGGAGGGGGCAGAGGTGGGGAGGGACAGGGATGGGGACAGGGCACGGGCGGGGAGGGTGGGGTGCGAGAAGAGAGAAACCGTTAGTGACACCTCAGTCAGCCAGGCAGGGAGCGCCTACAGTGGTCCAGGTGCATTGGGAGAGACACCCAGCGCCTGGTGCTGCAATTGCCTCTGCTCAAATGAAGTCACCACGGGTGCCCAGTCATAACATGCAGCCACTGGTTATGAAGCCAGTGGTCTTGGTTCCCAATTTAAAGGACATAATTAAAAAAATCTCTTGGACAGAGTCACAGGCCATCTACAGCAGTGGGTGGCTGTTTCTTGTATGCTGAAAACCATTTTTTAAACCACATTGTTTTAAAAATACAGGAGTTGTACACCCATGTTCATAGCAATGTTATTGATAGTAAGTCAAAAGTCAAAAGTGACTCAAGTGTCCACTGATGGATGACAGCAGGGACAAGGTGCGGTGTAGACACACAGTGTTACTGATTCAGCCTTAAAAAGGAAGTGCATTCGGACACATCCACGAGATGGGTGGACCTTGAGGAAAGCATGCTAAGTGAAACAAGCCAGTCACAAAAAGACGAATAACTGTGTGATTCCACTCAAACAAGGTCCCTGGAGGGTCATGTTCTTAGAGAGAAGGAAGAATGGTGGCTGCTGGGGCGGGAGGAAGAGGGAGCTGGTGTTTAAGGCATGCAGAGTTCCAGCCATGGAAGATGAAGAAGCCCTGGAGATGGGTGGTAGTGGTGGTTGCAGAACAACATCAACGGACTTAATACTACTGAACTTATACTTACAAATGGTTAAAGTGGCAAATATTATGCCATGTCTATTTTACCACCAAAAAAAGAAAAGACTGTTTGGTAAAAGCCTAGAATTCCCCACTGCTAAATTTCCAACAGCTTCAAGAGCCATTCCCGAAGCCTCTGTGGTCTGAGAATGCCCACGTTTGAGAAGACGTTTCCTATTCTTCCACGCGTTCTTAAGTCACATGATATCTGCCTCGTGTCCTCTGTTTCCCTTCGCTCACTGGGCAAAGAAGATAGTGTAAGCACATTTCCAGGCTATGCGACAGGCACCCCTGATAGCTCCGCAAACCCTCTCCTTGAACTATGGGCAAGTTTCAGAACAGCTAGAAGAGACTTAACAGGACTTATAAATCTTCAACTTGAGCCTGTGCGGTACCTTCTCAGTGAGATTCAGGAGCAGTGTTTTGATGGGAAGGAGGAACAGACATGGATATTAGGTGAGCAAATCGGGACTCTGTGCTCAAGCTATAAAGTGGCTGCTCCACTTCACTTCTGCAGGAGTTCTTAGAATGAGCCTGTTCCCCTCTTCACAAATGAAGACCCTGGGGCACAGATGGGTTGGACAGCTCGATCAAGACCTTACAGATGAAAGTAAGGGATGGATCTAGGATTTGGAGCTGGGGTAGACCTCTTTCCACTATTCCACATTGGACACAGCAGATGCTTAATAAATGTTATTTGGCTTATTATCTCCTCCTCTTTATCAGAAGGCTAGAGTTACTGAAGAACCACTCACCAATGGCTTTGTGATTTAGGTGCTCCGACCTCTTCCTGATAAGAGACTCGCACAGAGCTGCCATTGCTCATACCCCTGCAGCCACAGAGCGGTGCAGAGCCAACATGCACAACGCAGCCTTGAGGGGAGGGAGGAAGTTCACCCAAAGCTGCTGATCCTAAGGCACTTATTTCATGCAGTGCACACTTCCTTCCCAGCCTCATGGGTTTCTTTCTAAAATCACAAGTAGTAGGCCACCCTGAGCCACCCTCCAGCCTAGAAGAGAAGGTTGAGGGGCTGCAGTCTTCAAGAATCTGCAGGCTTTAGATGCTCAAAGATTAGGTCCTAGGCAAGAGTAAAGTTCATAGTGGAGCTATGAAGAGGGCAAGCAAGTCTCACGAAGATCCTTGCTTTTCTGTGGCTTTAGCCTGGACAGTGCAATTGCAAAACACTGAGAAGCTGGGGAAGGCTTGGGAAAGAAAGGTGCCAAAGTGCGGGGGAGGGGAGGGGAGTAGGGTTATTTGGAGGAAAGGAAAGGCCATTAGAAACTACTTGGAAGGCGGCCGGGCACAGTGGCTCATGCCTATAATCCCAGCACTTTGGGGGGCTAAGGCAGGCAGGATCACCTGAGCTCAGGAGTTCGAGACCAGCTTGGGCAACATGGCAAAACCTCATCTCTACAAAAAATACAAAAATTAGCTGGGCATGGTGGCACACAAATGTAATCCCAGCTTCTCAGGAGGCTGAGGTAGGAGAATCATTTGAGCCCAGAAGGCAGAGGTTCCAGTGAGCTGAGATCACGCCACTGTACTCCAGCCTGGGCGACAGAGCAAGACCTTGTCTCTAAATAAATAAATAAATAAAAAGTACTTGGAAGGGGCTGACTGTGAAGCGTTAACAATCCTTTCCACTCATCACCACAATCATTTGTGCCACGGCGGTGCTTCTCCAAGCTGTCAGGTGGGCAACAGAGTAGCTTTCTCTGCTCTTGCAGGGAATTTCAGCTCAGGGTGCAGGTCCCTTCCGGTGGGGGCTACTGAGCAGGCTGCAGACAGCTGTGGCCTGTGTAGGCTGCGGGCGCTCTCCCATGCTGTCAGCTCTGCTCAGGACATGGGCTCAGTCTTGACAGGGCAGAGGCAGAGGCAGAGCAGCCTCATTGATTAAACATTCGTCTTCTGGAAACTATACCAGGGTTTGGACGGACTGTGCTTTGCAAAGAATGTTTTATGAACATCACCGTTTCGTATTCTTACTGACAGAGGCAGCTGAGCCGCAGCGGCACTCCCATTTCCTGTAACTCCGCACAGCCTCCAGCAGGCCGGGCCTGGGAATGAGCCCAGGGCGGAGCTGCCGCTTCAGAGAGCTCAGCTGGCAAGCCAGCGCCCTTGCTGGACCAAGGCATCTTGTTTTCAAGCTTCCCCTCTGGAGCCCTCACTCATCCTAATGCTTTCTGTCCACACAATACCCCCTGGCTCTAAGGAACAAGGAAATGGCAAATTAGATTTGCTTGTCTCTGTTGACCTGAAGAAAGCCTTCTCTACTGAAGACTAATTGGCAAATTCTGTTTTAGGGTTCAGCCCAAGTACTTCTGACTGACTCTCACAGACTCACAGAAAAATATGTTCGAGGGTGGAGCTGGAGGAGACAGTCAAGGTCACACAGTAGGAGCCTGAGGGCAGAGGCGGGCTCCTCTCCTTCCAACCCTCTCTGTCTCTTTCACCTTCCCTGTGGGAAGAGGTGGGCTCGCCTCAACCCTCTGTTTCTTTCAACTTTCCTCTCTGGGGAGAGGTGGGCTCTCCTCCACTCTCTGTCTTCCCCCCCCACCACCCCTCTCTTGTGCATTCTTCTACTTTGCACTACTCCATCAGCTGCTGGCCCTTTTCCTCTCCCCTGATCACCTCTCTGCCACCTAAGCCTGCAAAGAGCTCCTGCACACCCACGAGAACCTTCTCGGATAAGGTGGCTGTCGGCAGTGGTCGGTTAAGCTCCTGAGAGACTGTGTTCCCTGTTGGGGTTGATGCAGAGTTGGGTGCACCTTCGGAGACTTCCATTTGCAAACATCCCTTTGCTAACTTAAAGATAACAGCCCTAGAGGTGGCTTTACTGGGAAGCTAATGATGCTTCAGGCTCCTTTACTTACACAGCCTCTTTCCAAGGCCTCGTTCTCTGCATATTGTTTGTTTTTTCTTAAAGGAGGTCTCCCATGGCATGGTTCAGACCACTCCAAACCTGGCCCACTCCAGCACATACCTACTGGTGCTTTGCCATGCTGTACCTACGACTTGTTAAGAACTGTAGCAAACACTGTGTGGGCCTCACTGGCCAGGACCTTGTTGGAAATGCTCTTGAGTTTGTCAAGGGTGAAGCTTAAGGACTTGAAGAAGGTGTGAAATAATATTTGTGAAAGAAGAAGTTTAGCCTAAGCCATTTAATTTTTGTTTTGTTTTGTTTTTTTTGAGATGGAGTCTCACTCTGTCACCCAGGCTGGAGTGCAGTGGCACGATCTTGGCTCACTGCAGCCTCTGCCTCCTGGGTTCAAACAATTCTCCTACCTCAGCCTCCTGAGTAGCTGGGACTACAGGCACGCACCACCATGCCTGGCTAATTTTTGTATTTTTTTTTTTTTTTTTTTTAGTGGAGATGGGGGTTTTACTGTGTTGGCCAGGCTGGTCTCAAACTCCTGACCTCAAGTGATCTGCCTTCCTCGGCCTCCCAAAGTGCTGGGATTACAGGTCTGAGCCACCGTGCCTAGCCCGTAAGCCATTTAATTTAAAAAATCTATATAGAAGTCACTCAGAAATGTTTTCCAAATGACTCTTTGGAACCCTGACTTATCTGATGATAAGCACCTCTTCTACACAGATTTGTTTAAACATCTTAAAAGATGACTGTCTATCTAAGTCTAGCTATGGGTGTTTCCCCTGATAGAGGGACTGCTTTTGTAGTAATAATGAACCTACTCTCTGTGCCCTCCCCAGCTTTCCTGCTGGGATGACAGCAGGGGGCAGGGGCACTGGCATCAGGCACCTAAGTATCTAAGTCCTGCGTGTAGTTCACAGCTTTGAAAACACTTTGCCACATTCAAACTGATTTCCATTTAGAAGGCAAATCTCAGTTGGGGCACACGGGGACCAGGCTCTGTTCTGCAGGGTGTCACCCATCTAAATCTCCTGTTGGCTCAGAAGAGAGCACTGGCGTGGACAGAGCAGAGTTTTGTCAGATTCCAACCAAGGGTAGTGCAATGACTCTACTGACTGGAATTTACAATTCTCATTAAACGCTCTCAAAACGTCGCCTGTTTTGAACATATGCTTCTTAGAAAAAACTTAGATATCAAATGACTCAGGGATACCTGATTTTTTTAAAAGAGCTTTTCCTAATTTTCCACTCTGCCAGAATTCCAAGGGCGATGGGTTCATAAACCTTCATGGCTGTGATTCTCATTTGAGAAAGTCATGGGGGAAAATGGCCAGTATTTTCAGGGTTACTGTGGAGATGGCCATGACAAATATTCTTACACTTCCCTTTTTTTTTTTTTAAACCTTTGCTTCTAATTCTTATTTGCCCATTTCTTGTTGACTTTTCTACTTAACTTTCTTGCTCTCTGGACTCACCAACTCTCTTCCCCTCTATCCTTCTTCCCCATTGATTTCTCTCCCACTTCTCCTTTTTCCGTCTTCTCTTTTTCTTCTTTGTTTCTTCCTTTCTACCTCTCTCTTTTTTACTTTGAACCCTTTTCCCTCCGCTACCCAGCCTTCCTGGCTTTTCATTTGAGGACCCTTTTACCTTCCACCAGTAGAGGGAGACATCACCGCTCGCTTTTTCTCTCTTACAATTTGGTGGCTGTGCATACATCCCGGCTAACACCAAGAAGCCGTTGGTTATGTTTGAATTGATCTAACCAGTTATATAATCCTAAGGAAAAACAGCTGACCACTTAGATATCTGACAGTGATAGTCCATCTACTCTGAACAGAAAACTGAGATACTCATGTTTTTATTCCAAAACAACCTTTTAAAAGTTCATATGTATCAAATATTAGGTTGAATCATATGACATTACCAATTTTTAAGGTCAAAAATTGGCCGAATGCTGGATACTAATAGAATAGAATTTTGATTTCTTGTAAGAGTGTCTATGAAAAGACCTTTCTGCTGGCAGCATAAAAATCCCACTGTCTGGAGTGCTGGAGCTTTTGCTGTCATTGCAGTAAGTCACTGTGACAGCTGATTTACTGCCCAAATGAAGTGTCGGCATGTAACTTGCAAAGAAGTTTATGGCTTCAGATGTCTGGAAGTCATACACATTAGCACTTAATGTTACAATTTAAAAATGCCATAGAGATCATTCCTGTTTCTGCAGATTCTCAAATAAAATTGCTCATGTAGGAATACATTTTATTTTACCCTAGCTGACGTCTTGTCTGAAAAAACCGAGTGTACAGATGCTACTAAAAGCAAAACTAGGAGCTTTCTAGATGGTCTGTGTACAAATTAAGAATGAGTGAAATTATTTATTTCTTTTGCTCCAATTCTGTCAAAAGCATTAGAGTTACGCATCATGTATTTCTGCTTGGCTGTGAAGCTCTGTTCTGGGGTCTTATGAATGCTTATTAACAGTTACAGAAACACCACAGTCTTCTAAAGTCCACCTAAAATGCAGGTGCAGGTTGGAAGGAGAGCTTTTTTGTATTCTTTTATTTAACATTATCATTTACGTTTGCCTAAGTTATTTTTTTTCCTACTACATTTGATTTTTCAGATTACATGGAGAGTTCTTCTGCAATACTAGCTTAATAAATCATGCAACTGCTGGTTTAATCTTGTTTTGATACTGGATTGGGGTATTTAAAATGTTAGGTTAAGTAAATACAGTAAATGATTTTCTAAAAACAAAATTGTAGCAATTATGTACCATGTTACTATCTTTGCATTTAGCATGCGATCCCAAAGGACCTTTGTAGCAACAAGTGCCAGATATAAGCATAAATGATGACACCAATGCTATACAAAAGTTAAATTATTTGACAATCAAATGAAGTGTGTACACTAAAAAGTGGATCATAACTGGATGTCGTGAGTATGTCATGCATATACATTGTTCTAGATAGAACTTCAATGTTAGCTCATAATAAAAGCCAATAATGAGGGAAGCAGCAATAATGAAAATGTGGTCCTCAGCTGGCTCTGGGTTATCTGCACATACTTCCAGTATGGGTCCTTGAAATTTCATAGGAGTTCAGATGGCAAGAGACACCTGTGGTCACACCCATCACATTATTGCTTTAGATGTCACATTGTTGCTTCCCTAACATTTTCTTCCTTGAGAATTTATAGTAGAGAGAAAATTTCATAGGCACTGAATAACCACCCCCATCCCCCACTTGTGAGAGAGGATACACTAACACTGAATTTTCCCATTTTTGAGATAATAAATAAGACCTCATTAGGTACTTTGATGCCAGCTTTCTATCAATATTTATCTAATTTTTTGACCTGCAATATCAGGGTGCTTATCTAGACGTAAAATTATAAAGCATTTATCTCTAATTTCTAAAGTATTGCATATTTCCTTAGGAGCACGTCTTCTATCATTCAAGAAATACCTTTCTTATCCGGATACTGGTCCTAAAATAAGATGGCAGGCAAAAGTTTGACCAAAGATACCTGGGGCCTCTTTCCCACCAGCCTTTCTCTCCTCTGCAAATGAACATGCTGAGTCTGATGCTAAATCTGTCTCCAGAGGCTCCTCCTTCAAAGTAAACACTGGAAACAGCTTTAGGTCAGAGTAGTCACACCCCACGGCTAACTCAGTGTTTATTGTTGGTAGAGTGGGTAGCAAACAACCCATGTCTGGAACATATGGCAACATGGGTTGTAACATGTCCTCTAATTATAGAGACAAAGCTTCTCTTCTACTCCCAGGAATGATGGAGAACTGATACTGGACCAGCATTCAGCCTGTATATAAGGGAGTATATGAAACTGGCCAAAGTACAGGAGGCAAATGGTTTCCAGTAGTGCACCACAGGCAATGCAAGACTGTAATCCCTGAGGGAAGGGAAACTCACAAGGTAAGCCCCACAACCAACCAATTCTTTTCTTGGGGAAAGTTCCCCAACCATTGCACAGAGCTGGAGTCTGAGCAGACCATAGTCATTCAGCTATAGAGAAAACAGAGGTCAGAGTGCGAGAAAGCTGAAGTGGCTGGATCTCCAGGGCAAGACACTGGAGAAGAGGATGCCGTTCTGGTCCGTTCAGGAGGACCAGAAGTCCTAGTGGAGGTTCCAAGGGCTGTAGGCAAGGGTTGCGCTGGGCATGTGCAGGGTGAGAATCCCCTGCCCCAAGGCTTATAAGATAGCAGCTGAGATGTGGCTGAAAGAGAAATAGAGATACTCGAGGTTGAGAAAAGTAGTGCATTAGGGACACTGAGGTCATGAACACCTCCAACACATTGTTCACATCCCCGGGATCCCAAAGACATCAGAAAGGCTGTGCCTTAGGAGTAAGAATCATGCCCTAAAGTAAGACCCTAGACCCATCCTAACAAAGCTTGAAACCAAACAATCTTCAGAGAAGACAGAATTTGGAGGTTGAGTTCCAACAAATTAAAAAAGTCTGGAAACCACTTTGAACTTTCCACAGATCTGTACTAACGAAACATAATACAAACCCACACACGTTCAAGGTGACTAGCCAGTACCTGAACTGCTTGCTGTAACAGGGGCAACACTCTTTGGTGTAAGATAACAAAATCCAGAGTCTCTATACCACATATCTAAAATGTCCTGTAGTCAATAAAATATTAATAGACATACAAAGAAATGGGAAAATATGATAGAACCAAATCAAAATTTTACAACTAAAAAGCACAATAAGCAAAATGAAAAATTATCTGGATGAAGTTAGCAGTAGATTGGATATGGCAGAAGAATCAGTGAACATGAAGAGAGATCCAAAGAAATTATCCAGTCTGAAGAGCTGAGAGAGAGATATTGAAGGAAAAAGCACAGAGCCTCAGGGACCTATCCTCTGGGCAGATTTTCACAGGGGAGCGTGGGTAAGGATAATGGGTTGTGGGGACTGAAAGGGTGTGGCTGAAAATCACTTTACACACAGTCACCCCTGTAGATGTTTCTTTATTGATGTGCATAGCATAGGGTTAAAAGCATGGGCTCTGGGGTCAAATTAGGACGTTTCTGTTAGAAAATTGTACTTAAGCTCTCCCTCCTCCGGTTTTGTTAATCTATAAAATGGAGATAATATTAGTAGCAGGCTCAGAGGGGTGCTGTGAGGGGTTAGCAGAAGTTATGTACGTGGAAGGCTTGGAACAGCATGTGGTATGTCCATGTGGTATAGTCTGGGAAGTGGTGAGCCCCGTGTCGGTGTGAAGGTGGATGAACTGCAAAGAGGAGAGTCGGGAAAGAGCATCGGGCCTCATGTTCCGTTTAGCGCCAGCTCTGCTTGCGTGCTTTCCACAGTCCTGTGAGCACGGTCCCTAAACCACAGAAGCCCATAAAGAACCAAAGCAACAGAAAGGCCTGTTCGCCAGGTGCCTGAATGGCCGGTAAATGTACAGTCCAGTGGAACATTATCTGCTGGTGATATTGGCCTGTTGATGAGACACAATGGGCTCAAAGCCCTGATGACAGAGAAGAGTCTGCTGGAGGGGACCTCCACTGGGCAGGACCCTGAAGGTCGATGTTCGGCCCTTGCCACCAATGCTGAAGTCCTCTGTCCAGCATTGCTAGGAGATGCTCCCTGTCCCAAGTCTGACATCTCTGGGTGGGGACTCCTGTCCACTAGGAGCTCTGCGTCCTGGGCTGTTCCCTCTTGGATTGAGTAGAGTCTGAATCCCAGGCCCACTCTCTGGTCCTAGATGTGACCTGTGGGGCCACACAGAACACATCTCATCCTCTCCTGCCGATGTTCTCATGGCGCTTGGGGCACTCCCAGGGGGGTAGAAGCCTTGAGACCAAAAGGACTTCTTCCAGAAGCAACCTGGGTTTCTCACAGCAAAGGCAGTGTAGGGAGGGCATGGGACTCCAAGCTAATTAGACTTTTAAATTTATCCATCTATGAGCAACTTACTTTGTAATTGGTAATGATTTCCATGTAATCATATGTGTGCTTGGGGATTCTGATGAAGTAAGAAAAACCCAACCTACAAATCATTTCTAAACTGTCATAAAATTTTCATGAGTGCTAAATTTAACAATTAATGAAGTTAACACATTCATGTGTCTCATAGACATTACACATTTATCAATTTTGATTTTGCAGTTTTCTTTTCATGTTTTAGAGCTTGTAATTTTTTTCCAGGTCTTAAAATTTTTTATAGTTCCTGGAAAAGTGCATAGGCACTTGCCTACAGTGTCTGATGGCTTGAATGTCCATGACATCTGTCTCTGGGTTCACAGATTAATTTCATCCCACCATGGCCATAACTTCAAGGAACCATGACATGTCACTACATCAAAGAGAACTCCTTCCCTCTAGCTCCTAGTTTTACATCCAGGGTGGAGGTCTTTGGAGATGTGGCAAAATTGGAGGACGGAAGGAATGAGGAAAAGAAGTTGGAACAAATTAATATTTGTTATGAGCCTCCTGTGTGCGAGCCCCTGTGAGGGGAATTTGCACATACATTCAACTGAACGTTTAAAAACCACCTCCAGGCTGGGCGCGGGGGCTCACGCCTGTAATCCCAGCACTTTGGGAGGCCAGGGCGAGCGGATTACTTGAGGTCAGGAGGTCAAGACCAGCCTGACCAACATGGTGAAACCCTGTCTGTACTAAAAATACAAAAATTAGCCAGGCATGATGGCGCGCACCTGTAATCCCAGCCATGTGGGGGTCTGAGGCAGGAGAATCGCTTGAACCCGGGAGGTCAAGAGTGCAGTGAGCAGAGATCGTGCTACCGCACTACAGCCTGGGCGACAGAGTGAGACTCTGTCTCAAAAAAATAATAAAATAAAATAAAGGGGTAAGTTAGAAAATGTATGTCTCAGTGCTCTGTAAATTGCAAAGCTCTATATAAATATAATTCTCTGTCTTTATTAATTTGCAATCTGGTGTGCCATGTCTGGGGACAATAACTCTTCCATTACTCCATGCACAAAGTTCTGATTTGGGGTCCTGGCTTATGCTTTTCCAAGATTATCAAAAATTAGCCAGGCATGGTGGTGCATGCCTGCAGTCCAGCTACCTGGGAGGCTGAGGCAGGAGAATTGCTTGAGCCCAGGAGGCAGATGTGGCAGTGAGCTAAGATTGCACCACTGCACTCCAGCCTGGGCGACACAGCGAGACTCCGTCTCAAAAAAATAAAACAAAAAAAGCTCCTCCAGTTTATTAGGTCATAAACTGGTAATGGCAAGAGGAAATAGAATCTCAGTCAATCCTCACTACAGGCCAGGGAGGTGAACCTCAGTATAACTTTCTTCATTTTACAGTTGAGGAATTTAAGGCTCTTGGGATTAAGTGACTTGCCCAAGATCACCCAGCCCCAAAGTGTCAGGGCCAGCAAAGGTCAGAGGCAGCCCAGGTGCTCTGACCCCACAGCTGTTCTCTGCCACTCCCCACTGCATAAGCTATTTGCAAAGCTTTTCCTTCCATCATCTTTCAGGATTATCTTATTCTGTTGTTCTTACTGGTGTCCAATTAGACCAAGAAGAAACTTCCCTTGAATTGGTGGGGACACAGCTGGCAGAGGTGGGCACAGAGAAAGGAAAATATAATGAATGCTGATTTCAAAAAATAATCTTCCAGCATGTAAGATGAAATTGGATTAGTATCTCAGATGACAAACATGAGTAAGTCTTACAGGTTTTTTACAGGCTAGCTGACAAAACAGATTCACGTCTCCACTGTTTCCAAGTGACTTTCTACCAACCAGACCATTTCTCCAACAACACAGGAAGCAAACCTTCCCTGAGTGTTCCATCCAGCTACCTGTTGGGCTGCTCCCCACCACCCCCAGGTATCCATGGGCACCCACATTCCACATGCCTAAGTCAACTTCCCCCAACTTGCACCCCCTCTTGAAACACCAGGACGTTTCGCCCCACACATGCCTGTGCTTTGTTGGCTTGAAACATCCCTTCCACCTTTGGGTGGCGAATTCTCAGATGTCGTCTCCTCCAGGAAGCTTTGCCTGAAACCTAAGTGCTCTTTGTCAAAGCTCCCCTGCCCCTCCCCCAACAGTCTGTCACATTCTAGCACATTCCGTTCAAATCCTCCATATACCCATTTCTCTGAATAGACCATGTATTACTTGAATGAAACTGACCTAAGGTTTTTCAAGATAAAAGAAACTTATTTGTGCCAAAGCAAATAATGGCTCAAAATCATTCCATTTAACCGAAACTTTTGGAGAGAACAAGAGAGTTTGAAGGCTGTGTCGATGGTTCTCAATAGTGGCTGCCAATTAAAGTCATCTCCAGGCCCATAGCACTGCCAAGGCCTGGCTGCCCACCCTAGGATTCTGACTTAACTGGATGCAGAGATCAGTATTGTGATTCTAATGAGTGTCCTGGGCTGAGGAGCGACAGATTGTAATAAATTATCCCTCAGCTCCTAGACATAGGGCCAGGTCTGAAGAGGGTCAGCTGGTTCCAGCTTGAGGGCTTTTCAGATGGAAATATGACATGTAATAGAAACCATCCGGGGCCAGGCGCAGTGGTTCATGCCTGTAATCCCAGCACTTTGGAAGGCCAAGGCAGGTGGATCTCCTGAGGTCAGGAGTTTGAGACCAGCCTGGCCAACATGGTGAAATGCCATCTCTACTAAAAATACAAAAATTAGCCTGACGTGGTGGTGCACACCTGCAATCCCAGCTGTTTGGGAGGCTGAGACAGGAGAATCGCTTGAACTCGGGAGGTGGAGGTTGCAGTGAGCCGAGACTGTGCCACTGCACTCCAGCCTGGGCGAAAAGAGTGAGACTCCGTCTAAAAAGAAAAAAAAAAAAAAAAGAAAAAAAGAAAGTAAGAAAGTACATGGGCCTGGCATCTCTAGCTGTGTGACTGTGAGCGAGTTACTCAACATATCCAAGTCTCAGTTTCATCCTTTGTAAAAGGAGGCTATCTTGCAGGTTGCTGTGGGGATTAAGTGAGGCAACTCTTGCAATGATAGTATCAATATTAGCAACGCTCTGTCCATTCTAAAGCGCTAAACCTCAGCAGAGACCCACCTATCCACAGCATGGTTCTAGAGCAAATAAACTTGGTGCCGTTCTTAGAATGGCTTGAAGTTCAGCTTGCGATTCTGACTAATTCAGCACTAACGGATTTGTGTATTTGTTTTCCCATCTGTCTAATTGGGGATTGGAACGCAAGAACTTTTTTATTGATTTTGAGCTCTAACTATATCCAAAACAGGAAATAAGTAGAAAGGAAGACGACGGATTGCTTGGCAACTTGCCAGACCACTTGCTCTTAGCGACGGTGCTGCAGGCTTTCCAAGGCGCAGAGGGTGGGTGCCCTGGATGTCTATCACTGCATCAGAGACCGGAAAACCGTTAGGGCTTCGGGACCCTTTCGGCCAGGCACTGCTGGTCATGATGTGCTGGCTTAGTCTGTGATGGTCTTTGTTGCCTGGGATGTCTGTTATTAGCAGCTGAAGCAAATCAAAGGAGAGGAATGTCACAGTGGCCCCAGAGAATTTGTACTGTTGTCAGTCTTGAAATATTTCAGCTCATTTGTCCGTGTTTTGACAATTCCTGGAAATTAATTGGTACGCGTATTTCTCATGGCCCTAACATGACGCAAAGCGGGAGAAAGCAAAGCAACAGTGCGGGGCCCGGAGACCACGCTGGAACTCGCTCTGCTAGAGGTTCCCAGGTCTCTCGGCTGGCATGTGCATTTCACAGAATGTTTAAAAAATACAAAATACCAATTTCTCCCCTTCAGGGCTTACTTCAAGTGCCTCTTGACTTTCACTGAAGTCTTTGACTGCTTCTTCTCTTCCCCTCCAGTTTTACAAATTATTCTCATTTTCAATTTAACTTTTTCAGTCCTTAAGCTTCCCTCATCTATTTTCATAATAAAACAATATTGACAGATGAGAAAACGGTAACAAATTAGATAACTTAGATGAAATGGATAAATTCCTAGAAAGACACATACCACTGAGACTGACCCAAGGGAAAAGTAAAAAATCTGAATAGACCTATAATAAGTAGAGTGAATTAGTAATCAAAACAATACCCATGGAGAAAGTTCAAGACTAAATGGCTTTCCTGGCAAATTGTCCCAAATCTTTAAAGATGAATTAACAGCAGTTCTTCACAAACTTTTCGAGACAGAAGAGTAAGAAGCACTTCTCAACTCCTTCCATGAAGCCGGTATTACCCCGATACCAACACCAGACAAAGACTTCACGAGAAAATAAAACTACAGACAATTCCCTTATGAATACAGACAGAACGATCCTTAACAAAATACTAGCAAACTGAATTTAGCAACATATAAAAAGGATTATATACCATGGCCAAGTAGGATTTATCCCATAAATTCAAGAAATAGGAGACAAATAAGAAAAGCAACACACACTCCTACTCTCAAGAAAGTTCTGGTATGACGGCCAGACTGCGCATAGCCCCACAGCACACCCCCAATCCTGTGTCAAGTGCGGGCTTAGTCAGTTTGGGGGCTGTTGGTCAGGGTGGGTGGGAGGAGAGGAGGAGCTGAGAGTCACGGTGTTTACCTTCTTCTGGGGTTTGGAGAGCTCTTTCTGGCATGTGTGGACTGAGATGTTGTCTCTGCCCTCCTAATCTCCTGGTGGAGCTGCAAGGATCAGAGACTCACAAAAGGCTCACAGCTAAAAGGGGGCTTTAGGTACAAATTAATCCCACCTCCTATTTTGCAGATGAGGAAAACTGAGGACCAGTGAGGCAAGAGTGACCTGCCAATCATCAGGGAACTAACTGGCAGGAGCCAGAATGGGAGCTCTCATTCCCTGGTTCCCATTCTGGGCTCTTTCCCTCATGCCAGTCATCTCTATTATTTTCCGGTTGCTCCAAGAGGGTACAGTTGAGCTCGCTCATCTTGCCACTCATGGGTCTCAGGGGGATAATAATAATAGCCGACACTTAAATAGTACTTTTCTTCTACTAGGCAAGGTTTTAAGTGCTTGACATGTCTTAACTTAATCCTCATAGAAACCCTACAAGGTAAGAATATCAATGTTCCCATTTTATAGATGAAAACACTGAGGCAGAGAGAGGTTAAGCAACTCATCAAGGTCATGCTTCTAGTAAGCGGTAGCAGTCTGGTCTCCACACAGTGAATCCCCATCTCCAATGTTCCTCTTCCAGATGGGGATAAAAAGGCATCTTAAAGCCTGCTGGCTGACTCGAAAGCATTTAGCATGTGGAACAGATGTCTCTGTACAGCTTTTATCACTGGCTGGAACATCCTGCTTAGGGGACTTGACTATACAATTCTGTGCTATTACCAAATCCGGAGTAGTGCTTATACGCGTATGACTCCCAGGATGTTGAGATTTCTTACAGTTTTGTCTCTGGTATGGAGGCGGTAGACCATGGTACTCACTGATGGAGGGCTTCTTTAGCATGGGGTCCATGGGCTTTAAAGCAAGACCTTGATCCTGAGATTTCGTGCACATATCATGTGCCTGAGCCTAGACTCACTGGGCATGGATTCGCTGGGGCTGTGACGCTGGAGTGTTTTTGTACCGAACAGCTCCCAGGTGCATGTGAGCCTTGTTCACTTCTTTATACCCAACAGTGCTTTCAAGCCTTCCCCTGGAAGCTCTCTGGAAAGATCTGTGCATGCCTGAGTAAAGGAATGAATGGCCGTGTGCAGTGGCTTACACTTGTAATCTCAACACTTTGGGAGGCTGAGGCAGGTGGATCGCTTGAGGTCAGGAGTTCGAGACCAGCCTGGGCAACATGGCAAAACTGTCTCTACAAAAAATGCAAAAATTAGCTGGGCATGGTGGCACATGCCTGTGGTCCCAGCTACTCAGGAGGCTGAGGTAGGAGGATCACCTTGAGACCAGGAGGTGAAGGTTGCAGTGAGCTGAGATTTCACCACTGCACTTCAGCCTGGGCGACAGAGTGAGACCCTGTCTTAAAAAAAAAAAATACAAATACCCTTTGTGTGTACGGATGGCAAGAAGATGCTACAGGAGATGTGAAGCCACCTACACTCAGGTATGCATGGCAGAGAGTGCACTGTCACCCTGGGCAGGTGACCAGGGCCGCAGGTCCTTACTCAATCCCACCATGATTCTGTATGCCATCAGCCTGAGGCCAGCAGTGAAGAGGCTCTGCTTCCAGGTCCAGAGCTCCTCCTGATCTGCCTGGTGCTCAGTGGCATGGTGATGTCGCATGCAGCTCTTTCCTGGGGTGTTCAGACTGTCTCATCCTCAGTCACAGCAGAGAACAGGAGGGCAAGGAGTCTTGTTTTTTTTTTTTTTGTTTTTTTTTTTTGGTATCTTCAAGCTTCCTGACACAGTGCTCAAGCCCACAGATTAACAGATGCCTTAATAAGTAGCTTTCCAGGCTGGGCGCGGTGACTCATGCCTGTAATCCTATCACTTTGGGAGGCAGAGGCTGGTGGATCACTTGAGGCCAGGAGCTTCAGACCAGCCTGGCCAACATGGTGAAACCCCCTCTCTACTAAAAAATACAAAAATTAGCTGGGTGTGGTGGCGGGCGCCTGTAATCCCATCTACTCGGGAAGCTGAGGCAGGAGAATGGCTTGAACCTGGGAGACGGAGGTTACAGTGAGTGGAGATCATGCCACTGCATTCCAGCCTGGGTGGCAGAGCGAGACACTGTTTCAAAAAAAAGAAAAGAAAAGTAGCCTTACACTGAATTGAGTGACAAGGGGTGACCAACAGGCAGCTGCTGCACTGCGACAGGCTTCTTAACCTTTGCAGTGTCCTCTTCCAACAACCCTTCCATCACAGCCCGGTGCCTTCAGCGGTACTAGTTATTTGGAAGGTGACTCCTAAAGGAATAGGCAAATGAACGCTAGCATTTCTGCCATGTCCAGAGTCTTGGTGCAGGTGTAGAATGAATGGACTCCAGAGGGGAATCTGATTTCACATATGGAGTAAAACGACCTCCCCATTTCCATGGTTAAAGCCACCTTCTCTGTCACAGAGGCACAGGGTAGGTGCTCAATAACTGTTTGCTGAATTGATGAATTATGTCCCATCTGGTCTTGACCTGAAGTGGCTTCCTGGTGAGAGCACCATTAAACAGCCTTTGTTAATTTTCTTAATCTCAACAAAGTGTAGAGCTTGGTGAGATCAGCACCCTGCAGAACCTGGTGAGCCCAGTATTATGGGGGTCACAGGGTAAGAAGAACATAAGTCCACTGGTTTTGACAAGGACATTTGCCATCGGTGGTCAATTCTACTGAAGGTTCTTAATGCTTCCTTCATGTATCTGCTCACATACTGCCCCCTGACTGCTGACCCCTTTGAAGGTGGATGAGCTGTACCCCACAAACTTTGTATCTCTATCTCCTAGTCTAGTCCTCAACACACAGAGGGAACCCAGGTAGAGTGGCTGATTGAATGAGAGGTTATTGTGTGTAGACACATGCACACATCAGAGAAACGATCAACGTATGCTGCGGCCAGAATTCTGGTGAGCTCTGTCCTTACAGGGCACTTCTTGTGCACCTGCGAATGGTGCAGAAAGCCTCTGAGCACAGATCTGGTCTTTAATGCCTGTGCGCTTGCAGGCATGCAGTGTAAGAAGTGAACGTGGGCACTGGAGTCGCCAGGCTAGTTTTGAACCCACAAATTAGAGTCTGTGTGGCCTTGGGTAGATGGATGATCAATCTCTCCTACTTAAAAAAGGTGGGGACAAGTGTCCCCTTTTCCCACTGTTGCTTTAGGGTTAAATGAGGTGCTGACCACCACGCGCCCTGAACACAGCTGATCTCCATGAATGTAATCCCCTTTCCTGCGAGCCTGTCTCTTCCTCCCTCTGTTCTCAGTTTCCTTTTCTGAAAAATACAGGGGAGTGACCCTTAAAGCGTCCCTTGAGTGGATGAGTTATGACCAAACAAGCTGTTTCCCCAAATCCCTTACACAGTGGAGCGGCAAGGACCTTGAAGTAAACATACTTGCTTCGAAAGAAAACACGCCTGGCACAGTGGCTCACGCCCGTCATCCCAGCACTTTGGGAGGCCGAGGCAGGTGGATCACCTGAGGTCAGGAGTTCGAGACCAGCCTGGCCAACATAGCGAAGCCCTGTCTCTACTAAAAATACAAAAATTAGCCTGCATGGTGGCATGCACCTGTAGTCCCAGCTACTTGGAAGGCTGAGGCAGGAGAATCGCTTGAACCTGGGAGGCAGAGGTTGCAGTGAGCTGACATCATGCCACTGCACTCCAGCCTGGGCGACAGAGCAAGACTCTGTCTCCAAAAAAAAAAAAGAGAGAGAAAACGCTTTATTAGTAAAGCAGAGCAAAGCAATACGAACAAGACACCACCACCACCAACACGTAAACCCCAGCCATCTCTGCTGGGGGCTGAGTCTAGTTCACGCAGCTGTGGAACTTGGCAGCCTCAGGACTGTCTTGAGGCTGCCAACTTCCACCCTGCAGTTCTTTGCACCCAGAAGCAAGGTGTTCTGGGCTGCTGCCCACGTCCAGTCTACCTGAAAGTCAGGTCTCTGATCTGTCATGGATGCTCTGGAGTGGGTGATTCAGCTATAGAAAGAGCACACAGCACAGGACCACCACAAGACAAGGTTCTCTGCAGAAACATGGAACTTCTAACTTTAGGGAGATTTGTTCCAAATAAAGAGAGGCCATTGCCTTCCAGACACCTAGGGAATCTTAAGACACTGATGGTCAGGACCAGGCCAGGCTGAGATTCCTGGTGTCCATGAGCGACTCCTGCCCCCTCCCCCAGATCTCCACCTGCACGCTGGAAACCTGCACGCTAGAAACCTACACACTGCAAGCAAAGCATGTCCACCCGTCGAAGAAAGCGTGAGATGTGCACACGCTCTGGAGAGGCACTGGTCAGTTTTGTGGCAAGTGAACGTACACCTGGTCTGATCATTTGCGCTATTTTACACAGGGCTGATCCCAGACTTTGGGCGGAAGCAGGGGAACCGGCAGCACCAGCCACTGCACGCTTGAGGAAGTGGAAGAGGGGTCAGTACAGATGGGGACCAAGGGACGGAAAGGGAAATGGAAGATCATGAGCCCAGCCCTGCCTGGGATGTGTAACAACAGCCTGATCCTGTATAAGGGGCTTCCATCCACGTGCCTCAAGCTGTTTTGGCAGACAGCTCGCGTGTGTGGACTTCCCCTGCGCAACTGTGAACAAGCACACCAAACTCAGTGGCCATACGCTTCCTGGGCTACTGCCTTAGTTTAACGCCTTGCCTCCTGTCTGAGCGCAGTAGTCATGGGGTGGGCGGCTGTGGGCTGCCCCCGCTCCTGGGGAGGTTTGCTAGGAAGGCTGCTTGGTGGCCTGTTAGTGAGCACACAAGCAAAAGGGAAGCCCTCGCAGGGAGCAGTGGCCCCCACTCCTACCATGTCACTCTGTGACTGCGTGGCCCCGTACATGGTGATGCCATTGGAGGGTGCTGCTGGCTGCGGCGTGTCGGGCTGGATGTACCCTCTTCTGTCGATCAGGCTGCGAGAGAAAAGAAAACACAGCAGGAAGAGAGTGAATAAAAAGCCAGAGATGCAGCAGCACTATCTCAGGTTCCGCGTCGGGGCTCCCTCTTCCCGTGACAGGCCCACCTCAGGCAACTTAGACTATGCCTCTCCTCACTTTCGTGTATAATCAGTGACCAAATTCTGTCCCTTCTCCCTTTAAACATGACTACGGCATGGCCTGCCTCCTCGCCAGGCCAAGGGCGTGTCGCCTGCTCAGATGACAGCATCTCCCTCTTGTCTACTAACTGTGGGAGCCTCTAAGCTGGTCTCACCCCCACCTGTCACCATCTGTCCCCAGCGCTCCTCTCCAGCCTCAACTGCACGTCTTCTTACTACATTCACTCAGCAAACGTTGTTTCGAGTACCTGCTAGTGCCAGTGTAGCGTGTGGGAAATGACCGCCTGCCACGTGGGAACAGAGCCACAGCCCCGCCAGCATGCACTCTGCTTGGCTATCTCTGTGTTTTTGTTTGGACTCTTCCCCCCTCTCTTCCTAAGTCACTTTTCCTGCCCCTCTGCTCTCCATTCTTCAAGGCCAGGTTCAAAAGCCCCTGCTCTTGCCCCTAGCCCCCTTCCTCCTCTCTCCCCTTCTCTGATTCTCAGCCCCATACATCGCTTTCTGCCTGCAATCAAGCTCCCAAGGGCAGAGTCTTCATCTTGTGGCCCCCCATGGTACCTGGCCCTGTGCCTGGCACACAGAGATGGGGATTAGAGCCCCTCTTCCACATCTGTCACAGAGCGTGGAGGGCAAGGACCGGCAGGCCGTCTCAATATCTGTATCTCTGAGGCTGACACCCAGCGGGTGCTGCGCAAAATTCTTCTTGATGGAATGAATAAAAATGGGTCCCTTGTCCCACAGACAAGTTTCTGAGTAGTGCTTCCAAAGGCATCTGTTTCTGTACTCTACGGTGCTGGGCTCATTAGAAGGTGGGGTAAAGTTGCCTTTTTTTTCTCCCCAGTGAAGGCTCAGCATTGACCTTGAGTCTAAGGGCAGAAGTGTAAGGAGCAACAGGAGGTTCAGCTAATAAGTGAGTATCCCTGGAGCAGCCCCCACAGTGTGGGACCAGGCACACCCACAGCGCAGAATCTTCCCCAGGTGCTCTGCATTTTGCAAACTACAAAAGTGTATCCAGAGGCCATGCCCATCCCCGCCTCTGAGGACTGTCTACCTGGGCTGCTTTTCTCAGAAAGCAGGGCCTCCTACGTGTCAGTCCTGTGGAACACAGGAGTTAACCTCATGACTACTGCCTTCAGGTCTTCAAGTGGCAGAACAATAAGCCAGAAAAACCACTTGTGACGGGATCCTCAAATGGGACTCTCTGCCTCAGTTCCAGCTGAACACTCCATAGGTTTAGAAAAAACAACAGGCAACAAGAATCTCCACCTTTCAAAGAAAAGTGCCTGACCTCCTCTGCAGGATGTCAAAGGGGGTTCTCAAACCAGCTTTGCAACCCTCCCTTCAAAGGTACAAAGGGTCCGAGGGGAAAAGAGCAGAGAAGGCTGTCTTGGAGAAGGGTGTTCTGCCCTCTAGCGCGGGTGACAGCCAGGGATGGGGCTGGGACCTGGGGTTGGATGAAGGTCCAGGTGTGGATCTCATGGGAGAGAGCCAGTGTCATGATGTCTTGAGGGACCGGGCGCAGTGGCTCACGCCTGTAATCCTAGCACTTTGGGAGGCCAAGGCGGGCAGATCACCGGAGGTCAGGAGTTCGAGACAAGCCTGGTCAACATGGTGAAACCCCACCTCTACTAAAAATACAAAAAAAATTAGCCAGGCGTGATGGCACATGCCTGTAACCCCAGCTACTTGGGAGGCTGAGGCAGGAGAATCACTTGAACCTGGGAGGCAGAAGTTGCAGTGAGCCAAGATCATGCCATTGCACTCCAGCCTGGGCAACAGAGTGAGACTCCATCTCAAAAAAAAAAAAGGAGGTCTTGAGGGAACGTCACGGGTTGAACTGTGCAGAAAGATATGAAGTCTTAACCTGGTACCTGCGAGTGTGACCTTACTTGCAAGTAGCGTCTCTGCAGATGTAACCAAGTTAAGATGAGGTCACACTCAATTGGGGTGGGCCTTTGTCCAGTGTGGCTGGTGTCCTTATAAGAAGAGAAAGAGGTGAGGAAGAGAATGCCAGGTGAGGGTACAGAGACACACAGGAAGAACACCATGGGCCGACAGAGGCTACCCTGCGATGAAGCATATGCCAGCCAAGGAACGTGGAGGGCTGATGGCCCCACCAGGTGCCAGGAAGAGGCAAGGAAGGGTTCTCCCCAGCCTCGGGGCGGGTACAACCCTGCCAGCACCTTGATTTAAGGCTTCGAGCCTCCGACTATAACAGAACAACTTTCTGTTGTTTTAACCCTCCCATTTCATGGCACTTGTTGGACTGCAGTGCCCTAGGAAACTACTACAGGACTCAGCCCAAGAGAGCCGCAGAGGGAGCCCCACAGAGAGGCCTATGCACGGCTCATGGCCGCGGGCCCACCTGGGGCTGCAGTGGCAGGTGTCTCCATCAGGGAACTGCAATGGGGGGTCCTCAGAGGAAATTCTCAGTCAGGTGCTCTCAGACCCCACCAGGTTAGAGCATTGGTGGGGGACCAAAAGCACCGACCCCCTGTCCCAAATCCCCTCCTCACTGTTGGCCAGCAAGCTGGTGGGGAGACAGGACTAGCTGATGGGTGGGGGCAGAGCTCAAGGGAAACAGGGATCCCCACAGTCCTCCCAACCAGGGTCAGGTGAAGTGATGGGAAGTGTTAACTGTCAATAAACTTGGCAGTTCTGATGCACTGAAATGACACTATTTTGGAGGCAAAGTGCTCTGACGTGCTCTCTCTTGCTCTCTCTCTCTCTTTTTTTTTTAATGACAAGAGAAATTAAGGGGCTTGCAGGGGATTTTATCCAGGAGCGGAAAAAGAACTAGGTCATCAAAAGAGTCTGAAGGGACAGCAGGGAGAAAAAAATCAAGCGTTCTCGGCCAGCATCCCATCGCGTCCAGCCTGTTTAATGTAGCAGCTGGGCTCCCAGTGCTGCGAAGCTCTGGACACGGCCCAATGAGGCTCTGCCCGTCCTTCTCCTCCTCACCTGGACTCGCCCCTTGTCTTGTCTCACCTCTTGGTTCTCGGCCCAGCTCCCTTCGCCCCCCACTCCTGACATTAACCCCATCAGTGTTTCCTGGGATGAGCCAGGACCCTCACCCTCGGGTCCCTGCACAGCTGCCCCCTTTGTCTTTCAAAACCCTGCTCCTCCCCACCGCTTCCTCCTCCGAACTCCTTCTCACCCTTGGGAGAGTTCACAGCTTAGACCTACTCTTGGGCGGCCCACGCACCTCACTGTGCACTGCCTGCCCATGGACAGTCCCTGCTGCCCAGAAGCTGGCCCCTCTCCCGTGCACCCCCAGTGCCTGGCACAGAGCCAGCCCCTCTCCCGTGCACCCACAGCGCCTGGCACAGAGCCAGCCCCTCTCCCGTGCACCCCCAGCGCCTGGCACAGAGCCAGCCCCTCTCCCGTGCACCCCCAGCGCCTGGCACAGAGCCAGCCCCTCTCCCGTGCACCCCCAGCGCCTGGCACGGAACTGGCTCCACCGCACATGGGCAGTCAATGGTGGCCACATGACCCACAGAACCAGCCCAAGTCTGGTGTGACACTGACCATTCCTTGGGCCTTTCTGTGTTCCCAATTTTCCATTCCTCCCGCCAGGCTTATATGAGGACTCCTTCCTCCAAACCTGGCCATACCCAGCCAGCTGCCATCCCTGCCTCTGGGAACACTGCAGGAACCGAATGTGGGTCTCTGAACTCTTGGTAAGCAGACTCCCAGAGGGGAACACAAGAACTCTCTCTGCCTTATTTGCATGGCACAGCACCATTTAAGAACCCAGGAGGGGCAACTCAAGCACAGGGGTCTGGGCCCAGGGGTCCGAGGAAGGGGACACTCTCAGTGGGTAGGCCTGGCCGGGATGCCCGGGAAGGCCCTGGCCCACTTAAGGGCACAGGGGCTGGGTCGAGGTGGCACAGCGGAAGGGCAAGGCAAGAGGGGACGAGAGGGAGGGGCAAAGGTAGGCATCACCCCCTCACATCTGCCTGGGGCCAGCCCGGAAGCCTATGAGTGGCCTATGTCCCTGCCCAAGCTCCAGAATGACCCAAGGAAAGCTACGGCCCCACTTTAACAAAGCAAATGTCTTATTTGTCTTGCTCTGCCTTCACCCAATAAAAGCCTCCCCCGGAGCCCCTTCAGTGCTGCCCCACACCGCTTCAAGTCTGGAGCTGCCAGATTCATGAATCGCCGTCTGTTCAAATACACTCTTCACTATTTTAATGTCCTTCAGTTTACCTTTTAACAAACGATTCAAACACTTCTCAGGGTAGGACCATCCTCAAGAAATGCCCCACCCAAAGGAACATGGATTTTGGAAAAGATACAGCCCCAATCCAGCCAAAACAGCACATTTAACCCAGTGGTGGAAATAATTTTGGTTGTGACAGTTTGTGGTCTCTAAACAACATAAAGCCGTGCCATATGCAGATGAAGGACTCAGGAACAAGAAGGGAGATTTGGACAGAACTGAGGCCTCGGCATCCTCTCTTAGACCCACACACGCACTGCAGGTGGGGGAAAGAGGCCAGCTCTCCCTGGCTCTTACTGTTTCCTGACCTGCCCTGCTAGTCACAAACAAGCCAGCGGGAAGCACCATGGACGCTGTGACAAATCAAGCCATTGCCTGAGAGACTTTCTGCTTAAAGAGCTCCCAGAAGGATCCCTAGGTGAGTCAGGAGGTTTCTTCAAGAGGAGCTGGCACCTGCCCAGGCATGTCTGACCCCTGTGGTCTGAGCAGCTCCTCTAACCCAGGATCCTCGCCTGCCCTTTCTAAGCCTCTGAGGAGGTCAGGGGTGCCTTGAGGACCCCTAGTTCAGGAGGACAGTGGCATGCTGGGCTCCCAAGTTTCTAGGCTAAAGCTAGAAAATGATCAAGTTCTAGTTTTGCAGTAGCACCACGGTGACTCAAAGTAATAACTCAATGCCAGTGCACAGATGGCCTTGGAATATATGCTTGGATTTTTTTTTTCTTGAATTCTTTTTACCTCTCTAATGAGGATTCACTGAGGCTGATAATCAAATGAAGTTTGCATTCCACAAGCGCATATCGGTAAGGTCTGGGTGCACAGTGGGTCTGCCCTGGACACAGTCATGGTGGCTTTTGTCATTTCTCCCTGTTTTACACATTTGGAGACCAAAAGGTAGGAAGCAGTAATAACTTGGAAACTCATTCTAGAGACCAGGTAGATTTGCTCAATATCTATTTGTTGATCATGGTTTGATTTATCAGTTGAAAATATTCTCCATAGGTGTAACTCACAAAGAATCTGTATTTTGAACTTGTACACTCTGACTTGGAGGCAGCGTGCCTCAGTGGGCACATACTGGCTCTGACATTGGGTGGCCTGGGTGTGTGTCCTGACTAGCCGGCATTTACTTGCTGTGTGATCTTGGGCACATTATTTAAACTCTGTGCCTCACTTTCCTCATCCATAGAATGGGATATAACGGTGCCTACCTATAGGTACAGAGTGAGCTTGTGAAAGGCTAATGCAGATAAAGAACTTAGAGCAGAGCTTAACACAGATTCAATAAAGGTCAGCTACTGCCATGGTTCGTGTCATCGTCATTATTACCATGACCACAGTATCAACGACTGCGGCCCATGTGGCTTTCTCCCTATGAACATTTCTATTGTGTGCAAATCAACTTTCGAAACTGGTTTCCTCAGACTTCTGGCTGCTTCCTTCCTGCACATGTGTCCTGTCTCCTTGACGATGCTAACCACAGCTCCCTGCACGCACCTTCAGTCATTAGCAGGGCCTCAGTCATTAGCAGGGCCACAGGCATCTGTCTCTCTATTTTGGGCTTTAGGAAATTTCCCCCCAATCAGACACAGATTCAATTGAAGATCAAAAAAGGTGTGAAGTGTGACACGACAAACAGCCAGATCTCGATTTCACGAAGGCCACATCCACGCGGCACAAAGTGGTCACGTGGTGGCGGCGACCCATTCCACCAGGGCGGGCGGCCTGTGCTAACGGCCGAGGCATTCGGTTTTCCAAGGTCTGTTGAAGAGCACGATGCGTCCTGAGTCTTACCTTGGTGAGATGGGCCCACACAGGGCAACACAGCAGTTGGTAAAGATATTTCCGTAGCTGTAGGGATTGTAATTTTCTTTACCTCTTTTATTTGACCAGGATCCTTTAATCTGAAAGAAAAGGAAAGTCAGTAACAAGCAATATCTTCCACACCAACGCACAGTTGAGGTGAGCTGGACCATGAGAGGCTCATAAAGAATGCAAATCATCTTTAATCCAAAGAAATGGAGGTATTTTTCTTAAAGAAAACGGGCATTTACTCCAAACTTGGAAATGTCCTAAAACAGCAGGTTAGAATAGGGAAAGAATAACATTCTCAGGGACAGTCATCTTTTATTTGTACCACATGGTACTAAAAGGCCATCTCATATAAGCCAGCAGAGATTTTTTTCATACTCACATTTAGTGCCCTAAATAATAATTAAATGAATGGTAGGTGAAATGGTTCCCCTAATTGCTAATTTACAGACTGAAATAATTCAGCCTCTTCTTGTGACCAAAATGGTCTGTTTTGCATATTCTAATATTTGTAGCTACCAAGTACAAATAACTGTATTAATATTCTCTTATCTCATGTGTCTTATCACAACCTATTTTCTCAAGCTTTTGTTTAAGGTAACTGGACCTATCCTGAGACATTTAATTCAAGTGTGGATAGAGACTTCTATCAAAATCTAAGTATAAAGAGCAAAGAGGACCACGCTGCTCTGGAAACATTCTCTAACATTTTGTTTCCTCTTTTTTTTTTTTTTTTTTGAGATGGAGTGTCGCTCTGTCACCCAGGCTGGAGTGCAGTGGCGCTATCTCAGCTCACTGCAACC